>NC_000004.12:83466835-83618350 GCF_000001405.40 Homo sapiens
TCCACTAGCTTTCTTGCTCTTTGCCTTATGCCATGAGGACATGTCCCAAATAAGGGCTGCTCCTTCAGCCTGGATCCTGGATGAAGATGACATTCAGAAAAGGAGTAGAGCTACAGCCAAGATAAAATGTGAGCAAGACTAAACCATAGTTGTTGTAAGCCACTGAGATTGCAATCTTTGTTAACTACAGCTGAAGAAATACAACTCAGTCAATGAAGCTAAAGGAATAATGACATCTCGTTCAACAAGGGACAGCATCTATGATGGGGTCTCACAAGATTATATTGGAGCACATATAGAAAGCTGATATATAGCACTTGATATTGGCATTACAGATCAAATAGGGGAAATGACTGATATTCAATAATAATTTGGGGACATTTGGTTTTCCCTATGAAAACTAAAAAGTAAAAATACATATAGGTTTGTGTAAGTATATGTTTGCACAATGATAAAACTGCCTAATGACACATTTCTCAGAAGGTACATAGCCTTCATTAAGCAACTCATAACTGTATAAATCTAATCAAGATGTCAGGTTATCCTAAAAAATGTCAGTCATTAACTTGATATGAACTCTATCTAGAAGTGGTTGACGTGTTTGATATGTTAACTTACCTTTAATTCCTCTTGTAATGAAGCATACATTTCATTTATCTTATGTACCTCCTTTAAGGATCCATCTTCTTCAAAAAATTTAGAGCTGTAAAAAATTACCATTTCCTCAGGCAAATACACAAAACCATTTTAATGATAAGGTGAAAAACTTATTCATTGTCAAGGACCAATAGAAGAGTCTTTTTACTGGTTTTGTAGGAACCATAATTTTGTCAATCTATGTGTATAGAGAAAAACCAACCACAAAACCTACTTCATTGATCTTCACATTAGCAAACTTTTTAGCCTCCTAAGTACTATTGCCAGGTCTCCCAAAAAGGCGAGGATGGGCGGGGGATGGGGGAAGATTGCATAAAAATAGATAAAAATTGAAGGAAGGAAAAAAAGTCTCTATTGGCAATGGGAACCGGAGTCAATTTTTAAAATATTTTACTGAATTCAAGTTACCTTTACTTGAAAGAGACATCATTATTTTATGATCCATAAAATAATGAAGAAAGTAATTCTAAGAAGGCATGACTTGTAGGACATCCCAATGTCAGAGATAAATATGAAAAATGTGCATCTTGCCGGGCGCGGTGGCTCACGCCTGTAATCCCAACACTTTGGGAGGCTGAGGCAGGCGGATCACCTGAGGTCGGGAGTTTGAGACCAGCCTGACCAACATGGAGAAACCCCGTCTCTACTAAAAAAAATACAAAATTAGCCGGGCATGGTGGTGCATGCCTGTAATCCCAGCTACTCAGGAGGCTGAAGCAGGAGAATCACTTGAACCTGGGAAGGACAGGTTGCAGTGAGCTGAAATCATGCCATTACACCCCGGCCTGGACAACAAGAGTGAAACTCTGTCTTTAAAAGAAAAAAAAAAAAAAAAAGGAAAATGTGCACCTCAGAATCAATGAAATACGGTATTCAGTTTTTAAACTGCTGGCACTGTGGGGACACAAAAGTAAGTAAAATCTAACCCCTTATTCTCAAAGTTTACACTCTAGTAGGTATCCTATAGTACCAGTGTTGCTGTTTTTGACATTACTTCCTTACTTAATGGCCACAAAGAAAGTTATATATAAGCAGCCTATAGTATGAGTGAGTCTTGGCTAAAGTCTGATTTTTACAAATATCTAATTTCACGCCTTTAATCCGAACCATTGCCTTAGAAAATTATAATTTTTAGGCTATATACTTATTCTAACCTAGAATAGATATGCTAAACTTTACAGGATATGCAACAAGATCCTCCCAGTACTATTTTTTTAAATTTTCTTTTGTAGAGATGGGGTTTTGCTGTGTTGCCCAGGCTAGTCTCCAACTCCTCAGCTCAAGTGATCCTCCTGCCTCAGCCTCCCGAAGTGCTGGGATTTGCAGGTGTGAGCCACCATGCCTGGACTAACCACTACCTTTTTTGTATCTTGTAAGTACACAAGCAGTAACAGGAGTATGAGGAAGGTAAAAACAGCCTAGTTTACTTGAGTAATGGATTAATTTTCCCTTGAATTTTTATTCTGCTGTTGTTTGAGAAATAAGAAAATTAATTTCAAAGATGAATAGAAGTTTTGTGAGAAAGCAGTTGAATCTTACCTGTGTGTTTGTACTGCTCGGCTAAAACCAGTGGACATACAGGAACCTGATACAGTTTTATAACCCAGTTGTTCAGACATGCCCAGATTGGCAACCACTAAAGGTACCCTGTGAAAAAGTCTGACAAAATAAAACTTTAGAGTATAAACTTAGAATGAAAAGAAAGATTAGTATCTACCTGCTGGAATAGATTACTTGTCCCCTACAAGATTTAAAAAAATACACCCCCCAAAACCCATTCTTTACTACTTATCCAAAATAGAATTTACTGACTTGAAACAACTGTTTTTTTTTTTTTTTGAGACAGGGTCTCACTCAGTCTCCCAGGCTGCAGTGCAGTGGTGCGATCATGGCTCAATAATGCAGCTTCAACCTCCCGTGCTCAAGCAATCCTCTTGCCTCAGCCTCCCAAGTAGCTGGGACTACAGGCACCCATCACCACACCCGACTAATTTTTAAGTTTTTTGTAGAGATGAGGTCTCCTAATGTTGCTCAGTGATCCTCCTGCCTTGGCCTCCCAAAGTGCTGGGATTACAGGTATGAGTCACCACACTGGGCCCAGATGACATGTAAAGCTGTGAAATGTGCTTAGTATAATAGTGTGGAAAAACAGTTTAATGGCTCTTTTGATTAGTACATGTATAAATAAGGCAGTATTGAGATTTACCCTATCTTCCATGAACAATAAAATTATTCTTAGTTGGTACTCTTTTAACGTAATTCTCATATTCCACGAAAATGTAGTTTACTATATATAAAACCTGTAAGGAGTCCCTGGTTAGACTCATTTTACTGGACCATCAAGAGCTACTTTGTTTCTTTGTTCAGTTATAGAAAAACTGCTGAAGTATCTAGGCTTAAATTCTAAATTCTAAATTATACCCTTTATCAATCAATTAAAAAAAAAGTTTTTTTCCACCTTAAGTAGTAAATAAGAGCAAATCTTCAGTGCCAGAATACAAGTCATCATTCCACACTGGGCTTCTAATTTCCTTGTCTGACCATTATTTTCCCACCTATAAATTAACAGATGGTAAGATCTACTTCTGAAGGTTATCGTGACAATCTGATGCGACAATATATGAGAACACTTTGTAAGCTGCAAAAAGTACTAAGTATTAGATATATTTTTCTATTAGTTTAATACAGCCAGTGACTGGCCAACATTTACCCTTTTTGAGGTTTATATAAGGAATGTTCCAGTCGATGAGTAGAGCAGCTTTCTGTTATTATACTTGGTGTTAATAGCAGAAAAACAAGGTCTTGGTTTGAAAAATGCTCCTGCAAGTTTTTGTGAAGCAGCCTCTCTCTAAACGTCATGATCTGATCTGAATGACGACGGAATTTGTACCAACCTACCACATTCTGAAATACAGAATAAAAAGGATATACATCTTAATAGTTACAATGATATGTCTTACTATTATAATTAAATAAAATAAACAACCTTAAAATGGCTTTCTTAATATTTAGAAAGATTTGGGGCATATATAAACAAAGAATACATTTAATCATATGCTTTACTTTTGTAAAACATACAAACTGACTTACTTTCCATTCATTTGAAAGGGTACGGTTTTCATCAATATAGATTAAAAGGGAGAAATAAATTCTTGACTTTCTGTAGTTTCTTTTATGGCATTTGCTATCTTGCAATCTCACTCTTTAGTCAAAATTTAAATGAAAAAAATATCAATGCCATTGATTCACTTAAAAGGCAATCCCTCCCTGAAAATAAATTAATCGCCTGTATGGACACTTGGTTTGTTAAATAAGTTAAGCTGAACCCTACAGCTTTTACCTAAAATTTTTATGGGAATGATATCACCTACCCGACAAACTTGGCTTCAAGATTAAGATCACATTAAAGGATTTTGTAAACTACAACATACTAAGCAAATGTGTTAATACTACTAGACCTTTTTTTAACTTGGAAAATAATTCTCCTTTACTTAAGACAAAGAGAAAACCAATCACTTTGCTTAGAGATCTGTGAGTTTCAGCAACTAAATTATATATTTGCACATTTGAATTGAGGAAATTAAAATTAGTTTTTAAAAATAAGGCATTTTTACAGGTGCAATTTTAAATACTCAAATAATAATTGGGGGGAAAAAACACAAGCATTTTCAGCCAAACATATTTGTTGAAAGAAACATCTTTTTTTTTTTTTTTTTTTTTTTTTTTTTTTTGAGACAGTCTGGCTCTGTTGCCCAGGCTGGAGTGCAATGGCACGATCTCAGCTCATTGCAACCTCTGCCTCCCGGGTTCAAGTGATTCTCCTGCCTCTGCCTCCTGAGTAGCTCAGATTACAGGCATGCGCCACTACGCCCGGCTTTTTTTTTTTCTTCTGTTTTTAGTAGAGATGGGGTTTCACCGTGTTGGTCAGGCTGGTCTCGAACTCCTGACCTCGTGATCCGCCCTCCGCAGCCTACCAAAGTACTGGGATTAAAGGCATGAGCCACTGTGCCCAGCCAAGAAACATCTTTCAATTAATCTATTTTTATTTTCAAATCAAAGTTTTAAGAGAAAAAGTAGTGCCTTGAAAAAATTTTGTGTTTGGGGAAAAAATCCATTTTGATCATTCAACAACTTTTAACCAAACACAAAGTATGTTATAGAGGATCCAAATTCAGTGCTATATAGGAAACATCCCTGCAGTATCTATCAAAAATAATAACTGAGGCCAGGCATGGTGTGTGGTGGCGGGTGCCTATAATCCCAGCTATTCAGGAGGCTGAGGCAGGAGAATCGCTTGAACCCAGGAGGTGCACGATGTAGTCAGCCTAGATCACACCACTGCACTCCAGCCTGGGTGACAGAGCAAGACTCCGTCTCAAAAAAAACAAAACAAAAAAAACCAAAACACTACAGCCAAGTAAAATAACAGAACTGATTAGGTCACAGAATAAATGGTAGTGGGAAGAGGTGTGGTGGAAATATAAGAGAAAGAGATAAATGTTAATTAGTCAAAGAAAGGATTAGAACAAAATTAATATTTTTAATTACTAGTTTTATTTTCAGAGCAACCACTTTCAATTTCTGGGAAGAACAAACCTTTTCTTACTTACTTTACAGGATACTATGATGTCAAACACTGCTTAAAAATTCTGTCAAAGTACTGTGTGTTTTTAAGAACCAAAAACAATGCAAATAATACCAAAAAAAGGGAAGATAAATTAGAGAATACCTTTTTGACATTTGATAATATTTTCTTCAGTGCTTGCTCATTTACTTCGCCTGAAGAATTATAAAAGCTGTAAAAGCCAAAATTAAAGGTATTTCAAATACGCTAAAAATATAAGTAATTTTATTAGTATTTTAAATTTTAGTTATTCCTAACCCAACTACCAAAGCCCATATACCTATTTGCCTGTCAGATGAAGTCCTAAAATAAACAGTAGAGAAAGTTCTCAAATTAACTGACTTAAAGTGGTAGAAACATAAAGTCCATAAAGCAATGAAAAGGAAAAAGGAGTAACTTAAGAGACAAGTTTTGGGAATCGTTTTTTTTGAACCTAAAACAGTAAACTATCCATGAAATACAGGTATTAAAATGTAAGTTCACATAACCGGTTCACAATTCATTCAGTTTACTCATTTATATTTTTTATAACATTGATACATACAAAAGAATGTATAACCAGTAATGAAGCACAATAACAAAAAGACTATTATTCACTGCTAGTTACAAAAGCTATGTATTTTAGGAGGTGGCTGGGTTTTTTGGGGTGGGGGAAGGGAATAGGTTTTGTTTGGTTTAGAACAGTTTGTTCAGGAGTTGGAATATCCAAAATGTAGGAAGAATTAAAAGATAATTCCAAGTGATTCTACTTCCAGCTTTCTTTCCCTTCCAATAACAGAGACTGCAAATAATATTTTCTTCTTTTTACCACTCATTAAGATCAACAATATTTTCTATGATGGTTAAATATGTTATACAAAATCCTTTATAAATAATTTTTGCCAGGGCATGGTGGCTCATACTTGTAATCCCAGCATTTTGGGAGGCTGAGGGGGGTGGATGGCTCGAGCCCAGAAGTTTGAGACCAACCTGCGCAATGTGGCAAAACCCTGTCTACATAAAAAATACAAAAATTAGCTGGGGTGTGGTGGTGTGTGCCTGTAGTCCCAGTTTCTAGAGAGAGCGAGGTGGGAGGATCACTTGAGCCTGGGAGGCAGAATTTGCAGTGAGATGAGATGGCACTACTGCACTCCAGGCTGGGCAACAGAGCAGTCTCTGTCATCTATTTATATTTCCAATATTTGTCTACTTACAGTTCCAATATGAAAATACAAGAAATTCTTCTCTAAAGACAAGAATTTATTCCTATATTTCCCTAGAATGGTCCACTTCTGAGCTCAAATCGGAGCATAAAGCAGTATATTAGGGTAAGATTAGTAACAGGATAACTGCACATCATCTCTGGAAGCACTAGGTTTATGTGAAGTTTCTGGGGAGAAGATGAAGGGGGTGGCATTTTATGTAGAAACTGATATAACATGCAGAATTCATGTCAAACTGCATAATTTTTTTTGAGACACGGTCTCGCTCTGTGGTTCACTATAGCCTTGACCTCTGCCCTCAAGCAATCCTTTCACCTCACCCTCCCTAGTAATGGGGACTACAGGCATGCCAACACACCCAGCTGTTTTGTATTTTTTGTAAAGAGGGAGTTTCGCCATGTTACCAGGCTGGTCTCCAACTCCCTGAGCTCAAGTGATCCACCCACCTCACCTCCCAAAGTGCTGGAATTATAGGCGTGAGCCACCATGACCCACCTGCATAATTTTTTAAAAAGTGACTTTAAGTTTCAGAAGCCGGGCACAGTGGCTCACGCCTTAATCCCAGCACTTTGGGAGGCTGAGGTGGGTGGATCACTTGAGGTCAGGAGATTGAAACCAGCCTGGCCAACGTGGCAAAACCCCATCTCTACTAAAAATACACCAACAAAAAAAAATTAGCCAGGCGTGGTGGTGCAGGCCTGTGGTCCCAACTACTCATGAGGCTGAGGTGGGAGAATCGCTTGAACCTGGGAGTTGGGAAGCTGCAGTGAACTGAGATCACACCACTGCACTCCAGCCTGGGCAACAGAGTGAGACCTTGTCTAAAAAATAAATAAATAAATAAATAAATAAATAAATAAATAAAATCTCTATCTATCCATCCACACACTAAGTTTCAGTAGGCTATTTCCCAGGTACTTCCTCCACATTTCTGAGGTAACCAAATCAGTGTATTTCAGTGGAAGTCTGCATCCTAATGTATTTAGTGCAGGGTTAACAAACTTTCTGTAAAGGCTTGTATAGAAAATATTTCAGGCTTTGATGGCCACATCCAGTCTCTATTGCATATTTTTCCTCCTTTTCTTACAACCCTTTAAAAATGTAGTAAACAAGGCCAGGCGTGGGTGTCTCACACCTGTAATCCTAGCACTCTGGGAGGCCACAGTGGGTGGATCACGAGGTCAAGAGATCAAGACCATCCTGGCCAACATGGTGAAACTTCATCTCTACTAAAAATACAAAAAAAATCAGCCGGGCTTGGTGGCACCCATCTGGAGTCCCAGCTACTTGGAGGCTGAGGCAGAAGAATTGCTTGGACCTGGGAGGCAGAGGTTGCAGTGAGCCGAGATTGCGCCACTGCACTCCAGCCTGACAACAGAGCAAGACTCTGTCTCAAAAAAAAAAAAAAAAAGTAGTAAACAGTCTCAGATCGAGGGCCACATAAAAACTACATCGTGGGGCTCTATTTTAGCAACCCCTGTAATTAGAGCAGGAAGAGGAAGAAACTGCATAGTATGATGCTGGATTAGAGCTCAAGAAATCCTTATTCTTCTCATTTTTGCCCTACCATTAACTAGATCTGTGGTCTTGGTTAAATCATGAACTTTTCAGGCCTATTATTGTGTTGTTTAATGAAGTATGTAGTTACCCTCTGAATGAGAGGTATTTCACATGTCTCTCCTAATGCCTTTCCACCCCGCTTTAATCCTGTAAGAGCTAAAAGGCTCAGGCATTGGTTTCTCATCACTGAAATAGATGGTTTCTTCAGGTCTCAGCTTCTATTAAGTTAGTCTAATTATTAATGTGGTTGAAAAAGGTACTGAATCACTTTTTGCTGTTCCTTTAAATCCTTTGTTGGTCCAGAAGATCCTTCAATAAAGTCCTTTTTATGAGTCTCCACTAAGAATTCCTCAGTCATCTAACAAATATTTTTGTATGTCCATTACACATAAGGCAGTATAGGAACTGTGCCTTTTCTTGGTATAGCAGTTTAAAAGACCACACTAAGCTCCTTTTTTCTGTTCTCCTCCTACAGTTAGTTCTCACCTTAACCATATGCTCCACTGTAATTCTTATATAACTTTAAAGATGTGTATAGTACATAGTCTGTAAGATAGTTATGCTGATTTTTCTTTTCCTTTTTTTGGAGACAGGGTCTTGCTCTGTCACCCAGGTCATGCAGTGGCATGACCTCAGCTCACTTCAGCCTCTTTCTCCTGAGCTCAAGTGATCCTCCTGCCTCAGCCTCCCCAGTAGCTGAGACTACAGAAGCATGCCATCACTCCTGGCTAATTTTTGTATTTTTAGTGGAGACAGTGTTTCACCATGTTGCCCAGGCTGTTTGTGCTGATTTTTCTTGCGTGGTTTATATAAATCATAAAACTATTTCATTAAAATTACACCATGCTATGGTTACATGATTACATGTGTTTGCTTTATGAAAATTCATTTATTTGTGTACTTTTCTACGTGTATGTTATACTCAATAAAAGCTAAAAAATACACAATGTATTAGAGTTAACAGTACTATGACTATCTGTAGGACTAAGTGCAAGCATTCATCCTAGAAAAGCAATAAGAAACAGGTTAAAGAACATAACCAGTTGAGTGCAATGGCTCACGCCTGTAATCCCAGTACTTTGGGAAGCAGAGGAAGGAGGACGGCTTGAGCCCAGGAGTTTGAGACCAGCCTGGGCAACATGGCAAAACCCTGTCTCTACCAAAATATAAAAATTAGCTGGGTGTGGTGGCTGGTGCCTGTGGTCCCAGCTACTTGGGGGGCTGAGGTGGAGAGGGTCACCTGAGCCCAGAAGGTGAAGGCTGCAGTGAGCTGTGTTCACGCCACTGCACTCCAGCCTGAGTGACAGAGTGAGACCCTGTCTCAAAAAGAAAAAGAACATAACCAGCTAACAGACAAAAAATAACACTAAAAAATATAAGTGAGGAACCAGTTGCTAAAATATGCTGAAATAAAAGGGTAGAAAAAAGGGCTGCTATTGATGATGTATAAGAACACTTCATTTACTGAGTTTATAATATGCAATGAGGTGACTGGGTGTGAGAAGAAAAAGCAATTCTCAACGTAAACTGGTGCCTGGGAAAGGTAATGAAGATCAGCATTAAGTAATATAAATACAGAGAAAGAACTGCTAGGGTTGACAATACACAAGTGATTTTTTCAGCTATTTAAAAAAAACTTTCCATTCTACTCAGTACCACCATGTATAGGTTATAACTAAGATAATCTGTTAGTTTTAAAAACTATTTCACTTGCAGAGAGTAATTTTCACAATGGATCATTTACTTACTAGCACTACTACTTACCTAAAAAGCTGATAGCATGGAATATATTTCTGAATGTCTGGAAGAAAAGGATTTTTAGTTATGATTACATTAATTCAATTCAGAATCACCTGAATGCTGCATATTGAGCCTTTACCTCACGCCAGGAAGTACTTTACCACTGATTATCTGATTTTTATCCTCACAACAAATCTGCGACATATACTATCATTATTCCCCTTTCAAAGATGATATAACAGGTAAAGAGAGATAAGTGGCTCACCCAATCCAGTGGTAGGGCCAGAGTTCAAAACCCAGAGCCTCGCCTGGAACCACAATGCTATATTTCCTCTAAATAACGGTCTAATAAGTCCAACACAAAAGATAAATTCAAAGTTGTCACATTTTCACCGAGTTCTAAAAAGGCTGTGCTCTAAATGTGCCCAATTAATAAACTCACCTGTTAAAGGAATTTAAAATGATGAAAATCTCCTTAACCAAAGCAATGGAATAATATGTTGATCTTGGATTTTACGTGTTTAAACATCTGTGATAATCCAACATTTAAAATAACTGGAGCAAATACCTTAGAGCTTAGCACTGTACCTAATACCACAATGCAGTTGCTCAGTACACATTTGCTTAATTAAATGCCTAGAACTATGTTAGATACTTTGGGCGGCACGCTAATTTCAATTAGGGAAAAAAAATGCTCTAAGGGCTTGCTTTTATTTTTTAATTTTTAAAAAATAATCTTGTATTGCTATAAAGGGCTTGCTTTTAAAACTCAAGTGTCCGAACCAAAAAAAAAAACTACAGTAAAATTATAAACTACAGGGTTTTAATGCTTCCGGGTTGCCACTGCAGTGGCATTTCTGACTGTGGGAGCCTCAGTTTCCCAGTCATCTGATGAGCCTGAGCAGCAGCAAAGTACCACTGTAAGCCATGAGATGTCTCGTCTGAACTGGAAACCCTTTGTATATGACGCCTTGCCTCTATCACTGCTGAGTTTGGAACTTTCCCCATGGACCTTGCCAAAACACGACTTCAGGTAGGTTCAAGGCCAAAGCATTGATGTCCGTTTCAAAGAAACAAAATATAGACGGATGTTTCATGCTTTGTTTTGGATCTATAAAGCGGAAGGTGTATTGGCTCTGTATTCAGGAATTGCTCCTGTTTTGCAAAGACAAGCATCATATGGCACCATTAAAATTGGGATTTACCAAAGCTTGAAGCAATTATCTGTAGAACGTTTAGAAGATGAAACTCTTTTAATCAACATGATCTGTGGGGTAGTGTCAGGGGTGATATTTTCCACTATAGCCAATCCCACCGATGTTCTAAAGATTCGAATGCAGGCTCAAGGAAGTTTGTTCCAAGGGAGCATGATTGGCAGCTTCATCGATATATACCAACAGGAAGGCACCAGGGGTCTGTGGAGGAGTGTGGTTCCAACTGCTCAGCATGCTGCCATCGTTGTGGGAGTAGAGCTACCAGTCTATGATTTTACTAAGAAGCACTTAATATTGTCAGGAATGATGGAAGACACAACTTTAACTCACTTTGTTTCCAGCTTTACATATGGTTTGGCTGGGGCTCTTGCCTCTAATCCAGGTGATGTGGCAGGCACTCACGTGATGAACCAGAGGGCAATCGTGGGACATGTGGATCTCTATAAGGGCACTTTGGATGGTATTTTAAAAATGTGGAAACATGAGGGCTTTTTTGTATTCTAAAGGATTTTGGCCAAACTGGCTTTGGCGTGGACCCTGGAACATCATTCTTTAAATTACATATGAGTAGCTCAAGAGGCTTTAAATCTAAGGACTGAATTATATGTGAGCCCAGCCCTGCCAGCCTTTCTACTCCTTTTCCCTTTTCCCGTGTTCTAATGTATTTTGGCAAAGTTCTAAGTGTTTACCAAACCGTTGGTCTCCTAAGGGCCTCCTGATGGAAGAACAGTAGGATGTTGGTTCAAAGTTATTTATATGTTTGTGTTACCATGTTAACTTTTCCCTGAGAGAAAGTGTTAACATTGAGACTCTAGCCCCAGATTGGTATCTTCTATGAAGATGGATACTAATGGATGACACTGAAAATGGCCTGCTTTCCAAATGTGGGTTAAATGTAACTGGTTGGGCCCCAGACTTGGGCTAGAGCAGAAGGCATAGGCCAGGGTGGTTACTGCTATATATATTATAGACCTCGGTTCTCATTAAAGTGTTTATTGACAGAAAAAAAATTATAAACTGTATTAGCATATGTATAAAACATGACAAAAGCCCAGTTTCCTTAAGTAATGTGATTACAAATCACTAAAAGCAAAACAGTACAAATGCAGCCAAAGAATAGGCCTATCCTTTTCAGAGAAAATGGCCAAGAAAAAAAGTAAAAAGTATCAAAAAAATACTTAACCTCTTTTGTAATTAAGAAATGCAAATTAAAATGCTATTTTTTTCACTTATCAAATTGGCAAAGATTAAAAGATTTGATAATACCTAGTGTTGGCAAGAGCATGGGGGCCGGGCATGGTGACTCACGCCTGTAATCCTAGCACTTTGGGAGGCCAGGGCGGGCAGATCACCTGAGGTCAGGTGTTTGAGACCAGCTTGGCCAAGATGGCAAAGCCCCATCTCTACTAAAAATACAAATATTGGCTGGGTGTGGTGGCAGTCGCCGGTAATCCCAGCTACTCGGGAGGCTGAGACAGGGATAATCACTTGAACCCGGGAAGCAGAGGTTGCAGTGAGCCGGAATCCCACCACTGCACTCCAGCCTGGGTGACAGAGTGAGACTCTGTTTCAAAAAAAAAAAAAAAAAAAGAGTATGGGGACCTAGGCACTTTTATATACTGTGGAGAAGCCTAAAATGGCATAAGTTTTCCAAAAGGCAATCAGCTAGTCTACCTCCAGGAGTGTGACTTTCAAATATACACTCAACAGCACAAAGAAATGTACAATACTAAATGTTCATGGTAATACTGTTTATGTTAACAAAAAAACCCAGAAAATCATTCTTAGATGGTTAAAAAAATTATGGTACGTCTATACAACAGGATATATGCAGCCAGCAGAAAGAATGATGGGCCGAGTATGGTGGCTCACCCCTGTAATCCAAACACTTTGTAATGACAGGAGGATTGCTTGAGCCTAGGAGTTTGAGACCAGCCTGGGCAACAAAGTGAGAACCTGTCTCTACAAACAATAAAAAATTAGCCAGGCGTGGTGGTGCATACCTATGGTCCCAGCAATACAGGAGGCTGAGGCAGGAGGATTGCTTAAGCCCAGGAGGTCAAGGCTGCAGTGACCAGTGTTTGTGCCACTACACTCCAGCCTGGCTGAAAGAGCAAGACCTCATCTCAAAAAAAAAAAAAACAAAGAGTGATGAATTATACACACAGATACTATTCTGTACTTGTGATATCTTGGGAGATATTAGGCACATATAGTAAGATCCCATTTGTGTAAATAAAAAGTATACACATTTGGCCGGGCATGGTGGCTCACGCCTGCAATCCCAGCACTTTGGGAGGCCGAGGTGAGAGGATCACTTGAGGTCAGGAGTTCGAGACCAGCCTGGCCAACATGGTGAAACCCCATCTCTACTAAAAATACAAAAAAAATTAGCCGGGCATGGTTGCGTGTGCCTGTAATCCCAGCTACTCCGGAGGCCGAGGCAGGAGAATCGCTTGACCTCGAGAGGCAGAGGTTGCAGTGAGCCGAGATCATGCCACTTCACTCCAGTCTGGGCGACAGAATGAGACTCCATCTCAAAACAAAAACAAAATGTATATATACACATATATATACACACACACATTTACATTTGTGTGTTTTATGAATATTGCAAGCTAGTAAGAATCCATGAAATAGTAGTTGCCACTAAGGAAACTAATGAGAGTTTAAATTTTTTATTTCCTACTTTATATATTTCTATTTTTAAACTTGTAAAGTAGCAAACAAAAATAACATACAGTATGAGTACAAACTGATATAATCTTTCCGGAAAGCAATCTGCTAATGCAGATCAAAAACCTTACAAGTGTTCATACCCTGTGACACAGTAATACCATATCTAGGAATCTATAATAGATAACGCCAAATATTGATATACAAGGATATTCACTGTAGTATACTTTATGATAATGAAAAACTAGAAACAGCTGATTATAACATATTTAAAGGAATGTTTAAATCACAGTAAGGCCACAGGGTAGAACACAATGCAGTTATGAAAAATAGTATTGTAGGCCAGGCATGGTGGCTCACGCCTGTCATCCCAGCACTTTGAAAGACCGAGGCGAGTGGATCACTTGAAGTCAGGAGTTCAAGGCAAGCCTCGCCAACATAATGAAACCCCATCTCTAATAAAAATACAAAAAGTTAGCCGGGCGTGGCAGCACACGTCTGTAATCCCAGCTACTTGGGAGGCTGAAGCAGGAGAATCGCTTGAACCTGGGAGGCGGAGGTTGCAGTGAGCCGGGATTGCGCCACTGCACTCCAGCCTGGGCAACAGAGTGAGACTCTGCCTCAAAAAAAAAAAGAAAAGAAATGAAAAATAATATTGTAGAGGATTATGCAACATTGTAAAGTGATCATGACACAATATGATGCCAAACCTTTTATAAAGTACACTACCAATTTTGTTTAAAAATACATACACATATATAGAGAAAAACTATATTAGACAATCAGAAAACTCCCTATACATTTTATTTCTTTTAACCATTTTTTTCCCTATGCATTTTAAAGGTTCTCCCCTGCTTTTCCCTAAAAGAGAAGCTGCCACCAGTTATAACTGCTTTAGCACCCACTCCTCAAACCCTTTACAGCCTGGTCTCTTCCCCATTACGCTCCAGAAATTACTGAGGATTTTCAGTCATCTAATAATCTAATTACTGCATTTTCTCAGTTCTCATCTTCCAACTTTTCTGCAGCATTTAACATTTTATCTTTTTCCTTGGTCTTCCTATTGCCGGGCCATCTTCCTACTAAACAGCAGGTGTTTCATCCTTGTTTCCCTGGCAGTAATCTTATCTGCTTCCTAAGTCTCATACTATTTCTTACTTTAGACCAGTCCATGGTCATAATTTTAACTGCAAAATGAGTACAACATATCCTTTTAAATTATTTTAAAATTAATATATATTTCTTATTTTTCTTTTTTTGAGACAGAGTCTCGCTTTGTTGCCCAGGCTGTAGTGCAGTGGCACAGTCTCGGCTCACTGCAACTTCTGCCTCTCAGGTTCAAGCAATTCTCGTGCCTCAGCCTCCCAAGTAACTGGGATTACAGACATGCACCACTACACCTGGCTAATTTTTGTATTTTTAGTAGAGATGGGTTTCACCATGTTGGCCAGGCTGGTCTCAAACTCCCAACCTCAGGTAATCCGCCTCGGCCTCCCAAAGTGCTGGGATTACAGGTGTGAGCCACCTTGCCCAGCCTCTGTATTTCCTAATTTAAAAATAATAATTTACGCTGACCCCTTTCAGCATAAACTATCAAATATAGGAGACACAGATGATTCAAATATAGGAGAAATAAATAACTCACCAATTGTATAAACAACTTCAACATCATCCATTTGGGAATCAGTAATGCTGTTCTTGGCTTCACCTTTTACTTCCCCAAGAAGAAAACCTTCCTATGAAGATAAAGAGGCAATATATAGAATACACTGATAGAATTACTGTTCACTTAACTAACCGTATTTCCTGAGTATTTTACTATGTATACAATATGTGCTACCAGTCGGGGGCACATATGAAAGATCTGAGATGCTTCTAGTTTACTTGGGAAAGATGAAGAGTTAAATAAAAATGAGAAGAGGCTAGGCAAGATGGCTCACGCCTGTAATCCTAGCACTGGGAGGCCAAGGTGGGCAGATAGTTTGAACCCAGGAGTTAAAGACTAGCCTGGGCAACAGGGTAAAACTCCGTCTGTACAAAAAATACGAGAAACATTAGTTAGGCATGGTGGCACATGCCTGTAGTCCCAGCTACTTGGGATGACGTGAACCCAGGAGGTTGAGGCTGCAGTGAGCTATGATCACGCCACTGCACTCCAGCCCAGGCGATAGAGTGAGACTCTGCCTCAAAAGAAAAAAAGTAGAAATAAAGAGGAGAGGAAGGGAAAGAGATTAGTCTAGCCTGAAATAATCAGAGTAGCCCTGGGGAGGCTACAGATTAGCCCTGTAGCCCTGGGGAGGCTACAGATTAGACTAAAGCTATGGGCAATATTTGTGTAGGCAGAGCATGAAGCACTGGGCACACTTGGAAGCATATAAGACTTAAAGCCAGAAATGAGCACACACTGAAGAATGAGCAGAGCACTTTGCCTTGGAGCAGAAGGAAATCAAAGATAAATAAGAACGAGCCAATAATGGGACACCCCGAATGACTACTCTGGATTTAACCACATGTGCTTCTGGGAGTTACAGAAAGCTTCTAAGGTACGAAATGACAAGATTAGTGTTTTCTGATTAAAACTCATGCACAATATGAAAGATTTAAATTCAATTTCAGAGTCTGCTTTCTAAAAGGAGTGCTGTGAGCCCGATTCTTTTAAAACTACTTGTATTCTGCCACCCCAGTGGTAATTTATCTGAGTTTTGGGGAATTCAATTTCTCTAGGCACACTTAAAGACCCAATGTGCTTGACAATGAAGATTTTATATCTTTTTTTTTTTTTTTTTTGAGAAGAGGTCTAGCTCTGTCATCACCCAGGCTGGAGTGCAGCGGTGCAATCACTACTCACTGCAGCTTTGACCTCCCAGGCTCAAACAATCCTGCTGCCTCAGCCTTCCAAGTAGCTGGGTCTACAGGCACGTGCCACCACGCCGGGCTAATTTTTAAAATTTTTTTGTAGACATGAGGTCTCCTTATGTTGCCCACGCTGGTCTTGAACTCCTGGGCTCAAATGATCCTCCTGCCTCCGCGTCCCAAAGTGCTGTGATTACAGAAATATTTTATATTCTTTATAATTAATAATGCTTTTTTCCCCTAAAAGTAAAAAAGGATTATTTCCATAATGTGAGTCTTTACTGGAATCACGCGGGGGGATATCCAGAATCTAGTGTTCTTGATTTTGATACTCAAAAGACGAACTCAGGGAAGGGAAGCAGGGGGGCAATGCAAGTGCAACTAGCCAGAAAAACCACCCTTTAAAGACTTCAGGAAAAAGATCTGAGAAACAGGGGCCTCCCTAGCACTCAGGTACTTCCCAAGGGCTAATCGTTTAAGCTACCGAGGATTTACGGTCCCACTCTATCTACACTACAGGTATTCCAAAATAATTTCCACAGCTACACATATATTTTAAATGGTCATATATTTGTTCTTTATTAGGTATTACTTTGTAAGGTTATCTGAAATTGTATACATAAAACATACCAATTCCAACCTTTATTAGGATTGTGCCAAAGAGCAATTTTGTAATGTTTAGATTTTGTAGAGACCGGGTCTCACTACGTTGTCCCCGATGGTCTCGAACTCGTGGGCTCAGGTGATTCACCCGCCTCGGCTTCCCAAAGGGCTGGAATTACAGGCGTGAGCCACCGCGCCCGACCTATATTAAGGCAATTTTGAGTAAAATAGACGTTATATCTTAAAATGAACTTAGCAGAAATTACTAGGCATTGTTCAGCAGGGTATTCTCCGAACTGTACCACACAGCAGGGAAGTGTATTTCAGATGCTTAGACTTTCTTTCTGCAAGTTACTGAAAGTGCTACAGGACATTAACTACTTCCGAGCTCAACGTTTTACAGCGTTTCTTTAATTTCATAGAACTTTTAGAAAATAGGCAACGTACTTTTAAAAACTGTTTTAACAAATTTAATAACGCAAATAAAAAGATATCTGATATACCAGATTAAGCTGTTCCATCCACTAAGATTTGCCACTGGACGCAACATCTATTTTTATTCCCTTACCATCCTACCATCGCAACAAACACGCACAGACGCTGCTCTGCATGAAAAAGTCCGCCTGGTTTTGCAAACGCCTGTCGGGCGTCGCGAGAAACGGAAAGTTTACCGCAGGCTCCGCAGAGCAGCGGAAAGACGCTCCGTGAACTTTCCATCTTTTCACGCCCAAGTTTCCACAGCTACAGGGGCGCCGAGGAAAGATGGGAGCGTGTGGGACACTTGGGTCGGAAAAGGGAAATAACGGAGGATAGCAGAGGGAGGGCTAATGCTGGAGAAGACTTCGTGGGCACGAGGCACCTCAGGGACCGCTGAGGGGGAGAGAAGGCAGAGCCGCGACCGCAGGGAGGAGGCGCGGCGGCGTCGGGGGAGCGGGCGGGGACCGGAGCAACAGCGGGGAGGCAGGCCGCGCGCAGGGCTCTTCCCAGGCGACGCCGGACCCCGCCCCGTCCCTCGGCTCACCGTGTCCGAGTCCGTGTTGAGGTGCTGGAAAGCGAGTGCGCCGAGCACAAAGCCCGAGAGCACCGCCGACGTACTCTCCCCCTCCATGCTACCGCCGCCTCAGGCTACACAAGAGGACGAGGGCGGGGCGCGCGGAGGCAAGACCCTGTGGTGGCAGCGAGGCGGGGCCCAGCGAGGAGGCGGGGCCTGCGCCGGCGCACGGGCTGCTGCGCGCTCCGCAGAGGGGCGGGGCGAGGGGGCTGAGGGCGGGCGCGGGCGGGTCCCCAGCCGCGCGCTCGGCTCCTCCTTCGCTTCTGCTGCCGGCCTCTCCCGGAAGGCCGCTGCATGTCGGTACCACTGCAGAGGGCTGCGAATTGCTTTTGGTGGCCTGCGCCTGCTGAGCGACCTGTCACAAACATGCAAAGCTATCAAAATGAACACGGTTGACAGGGTCATTTTAAGACAAGCAATGATTACAAGAATAAAAGAGTTGAGTAGCAACATTACGATGCCACAGTGGATATGCCACGGTTTTGGTTTTCAAGCTGCATTTTAGCACCCTTCACTCACTGAAACTTACAGAATACTAATAACCATTTGGGGATTGTCTTTGCTAGAACTCTCTAGCCATGTTCTGTGTCTGTGTGTTTGTGTGTGTGCATGTGTGTGTTCCCTTGCTTTTAGAAAACTTCAGCCTAATTTAAACAATACATGGATATTTAATGTTCTGACAGTTTAATGATAGGCATAATCATAGTAAGCTGGTTCATTTAATGTAAATGGTAAGGTGAGTGGACCAGGGCTTGGCAAATGTATTTTACACACACACACACACACACACACACGTAAAGGTATGTTTCTTAAATGACTGAAAGTAAGCATAATAGCAGACTACTGAATTAGTGTGGCACATTTGTGGGTTTTGTTGTCAAGCAGTTGTCTGTGGCTGCGTAACACACAATACATATGTATATAATTAATGATTATATATTTATTCCCTAGAATTAAGTTTCTTGCCTTCATTTTGTAGGGGTGAAGGGAAAGCTCTGCCCTCTGAAGGTTCACTGGAGTGAACTAACAAAAGAAAAGATGAACAGAAGGAAAAGGGATACGAATTTATTTTATTTTTTATTTTTTTGAGACTGAGTCTCGCTTGGTCACCCAGGCCAGAGTGCAGTGGCACCATCTCAGCTCACTGCAGCCTCCACTTCCCGGGTTCAAGCGATTCTTCTGCCTCAGCCTCCTGAGTAGCTGGGATTACAGGCACGTGCCACCAAGCCCGGCTTATTTATTTATTTTTTTTGTATTTTTATTAGAGACAAGGTTTCACCATGTTGGCCAGGCTGGTTTCGAACTCCTGACCTCGGGTGATCTGCCCCCTTCGGCCTCCCAAAGTGCTGGGATTACAGGCGCTCCCGACTGGCATACAAATTTATTAATGTGCCCTGGAGAAAATCACAGTAGAGTGATTACCCAATAATCCAATGAGGTTCAGATGCTTATGTACACTTTTTCATAAGGGAGAGGGAGATGGAGGAATGTAAGTAATTTTGAGGATCACAATTGATTCTTTGGATGAGCTTGAGGGATTGCTTGCAAAGAATTCTTTGTGGAAGTTGGATGAGCCCAAACAGCAGTCAATAACTTAGTACAAAGTTCCTCTGGGCTCTAGATTTGATGTTTGACTTTCAGTCTTCTTTCCACAGTCAGTAGATAATGAAATTTCAATGAAGGGGTGGAAGACAATTGTCGTAGGGTTGATAAAGAGTGGACAGTCGTGCAGGAGTATGATTACACAAAGGGAGTATGATGTAATGGTAACAAACTGGGGGAACTTAGAATGGGCTGTTTGTTCAGGTTCTTCTCTGTGTCCTGGTGTCTTCAGAGGTAAGGATATTCCTTTTCTCTATGTAAAGGGAGGGTACCTCTCAAATGATGGTCTTATGACCTACTTCAGGGAAGGACACCGGGTTTTATGGCCTGCCTCAAGGGAGATGGCCAGAGTATTCTTTCTATGGTTTATGGCCTGCTTCAGGGCAAAAGGAGTGAGGGGAAGGTGCAAATGACCTCTTTGCTCTGCTATTTTCTCAAATGCTCAGGTGCTATATTTTGGAGTAGTGTGTCCTGAACCACATCACTAGTTTTACTTCCTGCAACCCAGAGCAGCACAGTAGCTGAACCAAATACTCCTTCGGAAGCCAAAAAAGCTTGGGTATGAGTGGAGATAAGGAGAAATAGTAGATGAGAGTAAAGGAATAAATAAACGGGTTATATAATGAGGGAAATCCAATATTCATTAAGACCTCCAAAGAAACTCAAAGCAAGGGATGATATTGTCTCTTATCTTAATTATATCAGATGCCTGAAATAATGAAGATATATATTGCTAAGAACTCTGCTTTTGAAACCTGAAAAGATCAAATGGAAGCCTGAGTGGCCACACCCTGGGAGGCATTTTCTTTTCTTTTTCTTTTTTTTTTTTTTTTGAGACGGAGTCTCGCTCTGTCTCCCAGGCAGGAGTGCAGTGGCATGATCTTGGCTCACTGGAAGCTCCACCTCCTGGGTTCACGCCATTCTCCTGCCTCAGCCTCCTGAGTAGCTGGGATTACAGGCGTCCGCCACCACGCCCGGCTAATTTTTTGTATTTTTAGTAGAGACAGGGTTTCACCGTGTTAGCCAGGATGGTCTTGATCCCCTGACCTTGTGATCCACCCACCTCGGCCTCCCAAAGTGCTGGGATTACAGGCGTGAGCCACCGCGCCCGGCCTGGCATTTTCATATGATAGGCTGATGGACTGGACAGGTTATTAGTAATTGAATGGGGTTTTAGAAATGTGCAACTATCTTTTAACTCTTATGATTCTTTGCTATAAGGAATCAGTGGTCAAAGATCAAGGATTTGTCTGTAGTATAGTAAAAAAGAAAATAAATATTTAGTCTTTGTCCTGAGTTCCTGGCGTGGGAGCTTCTAAAACCTTAGGAATTTACTGGTTTTTGTATGCTAAAGAATGACTCATGGGAGAGTGTATTCGTCCCTTCTTGCACTGCTATAAAGAAATACCTGGCCGGGAACAGTGGCTCATACCTATAATCCCAGCACTTTGGGAGGCTGAGGTGGGCAGATCACCTGAAATACGAGTTTGAGACCAGCCTGACCAACATGACAAAACCCCATCTCTACTAAAAATACAAAAATTAGCCAGGCCTGGTGGCGTGCGCCTGTAATCCCAGCTACTTGGAAGGCTGAGGCAGGAGAATCACTTGAACCTGGGAGGTGGAGGTTGCAGTGAGCCGAGATCCTTCCACTACACTCCAGCCTGGGCAACAGAGTGAGAATCTGTTTCAAAAACAAACAAACAAACAAAAAGATTGGGCACAGTCACTCATGCTTGTAATTCCAGTGTTTTGGGAGTCTGAGCAGAGAGTATGGCTTGAGGTCAGGAGTTTGAGACCAGCCTGGGCAACATAGCAAGACTCTATGTCTTCAAAAACTTTAAAAAATTAGGCCAGGTGCGGTGGCTCATGCCTGTAATCCCAGCACTTTGGGAGGCCAAGATGGGTGGATCACGAGGTCAGGAGTTGGAGACCAGACTGCCAATATGATGAAACCCCGTCTCTACTAAAAATACAAAAATTAGCTGACCATGGTGGTGGGCACCTGTAATCCCAGCTACTTGGGAGGCTGAGGCAGGAGAATCACTTGAACCCAGGAGGCGGAGGTTGCAGTGAGCTGAGATCACGCCACTGCACTCTAGCCTAAGTGACAGAGCAAGACTCCATCTCAAAACAAAAACAAACAAACAAAAAATTAGTCCAGGTGTGGTGGCTCGTGCCTGTAATCCCAACTCACGCCAGTAATCCCAGCACTTTGAGAGGCCAAGGCAGGTGGATCACCTGAAGTCGGGAGTTCGAGACCAGCCTGGCCAACATGGTGAAACCCTGTCTCTACTAAAAATACAAAATTAGCGAGGTGTGGTGGCGTGTGCCTGTAATCCCAGCTACTCGGGAAGCTGAGGCAGAGGTGCTTGAACCCAGGAGGCCAAAGGTGCAGTGAGGCAAGATTGTGCCACTGCCCTCCAGCCTGGGCAACAGAGTGAGACTCTGTCTCAAAAAAAAAAAAAAAAATTAAAAAAGTTAGTTGGCCAGGCACGGTGGCTCACACCTGTAATCCCAGCAGTTTAGGAGGCTGAGGTGGGAGGATTGCTTGAGCCCAGGAGGCAGAAGTTGCAGTGAGCTGAGATCATGCCACTGTACTCCAGCGTGGGCCAGACCCAGTTTCAAAAAAAAATCAGTCAAGTGTGGTAGTGCACACCTGTAGTCCCAGCTACTGGGGAGGCTGAGGCGGGAGGATTGCTTGAGTCCAGGAGCTTGAAGCTGGAGTGAGCTTTGATTGTGCCACCTCAGCCTGGGAAACAGAATGAGACCTTGTCTCTTAAAAAAAAAATTAGAAAGAAGAATAACTATGAAAATAAGAGAAACATTTTAGCTGCTGTATTAGAATCATGTTAATGATAGGGTTGATTGCTTCAGAAGGATGTGCTTGCTTGCTTAAATTGGGATCCAATAATATTCATCTCTGTTAAATTTTTGGTATTCTATTTTAAATAGGAGGGTTAATGGAACCTCAAATAATTGCAAGAAAAAACTGTATCTTTTACTTTTCTATTTGAATTTTTAGATATTGATTTTTTTCGCATGAAAAGGATAAGAATATGATTTTTAAGTAATGATTTCACTCACAACAGATCAACTTTTAAACAAATATGCTTGCAAATAAATGAGTATCATAAAGGGAAATATATCTTATCTTCATAGCATATTATTAATTATACTATTTATTCAAAATGAATGGAGAATGTGATGGCCATGGACATGCTCCACTCTGGTTGAACCTGCTGGGGGAGCCACGGTTGGCAGAAAGCCTCCCACTTCAGCTCCTGTGAGCATTGCTGCCCTCTAACCTTCCCTGCCACAGCATCAGTGACCATGGTGGGGTATTAACACAGGCCCATTCTTATAAGATGCAGGATTCCTGTAATGGGACTTTGGCTCAAGGACTCTCCATCAGCCTGGCTAAGATTATGTTAGCTTGCACTGAAGTCTGAGACTCCTATCCTTCCCTTCCTCCTTTCCCAGGTGTCAGATAAGCATGGTTTTCTGCAGCCTCTCCTTGCTTACTCCTGCTCTCTTCCCTTTATCTTTCACAGACATTTCCCCAATAGGTCTCTCTCTTGCACATGGACTCCTGTCTTTGTGTCTGCTTTTCAGAGCATCAAAAGTGAAACAAAGTGCTTGCTTTTCCATATCACCTATAAAGGGCTTTCAGAGCCATAAAGATCACATTTTCAAATATCTGCCAATTAAAAAAAACTTCAAATACAAACATACTCAAAATATAATATGATGAATTTCATTTTTTAATTATAGACATGATTTATTTCTAATGGTGAACAAGTATTATTTTAATTTTTTTTTTTTTTTTTTTTTTTTTTTTTTTTTTTTTTTTTTTTTTTAGACAGGATCTCAATCCTGTTGCCCAGGCTGGAGTACAGCTGTGTGATCATGGCTTACTGCAGCCTCCACCTCCCAGGGTCAAGCGATTCTCCCACCTCAGCCTCTTGAGTAGCTGGGATTACAGGTACATGCCACCATCCCTGGCTAATTTTTTGATGGTTTGTTGAGATGGGGAGGTCTCACTATGTGGCCCAGGCTGGTCTCGAACTCTCGAGCTCAAGCAATCCTCCCGCCTCAGTCTCTCAAAAGGCTAGGATTACAGGAGTGAGCCACTGCACCTAGATAAGTATTATTTGTTAAGGCTATGTTATCTGGGAAATACTATTATAAACACATTTTGTTTTCTTTGTAATATTTTTGTGTATTAAAAACGTAATGAGAGTTTTAAAAATCTCTGATAAAACTTGATATAACTCTAAGATTATAGACACAGAAATAAATTTATCTGAGGTTCCAGGGAAATTTGAAGATGTATTAATGTGATAACATTCCAACTTGTTATTATTTCATTCCATCTGTTAAAGAGGCATAAGGAAAATTACACAAACACCGTTAAGAAATATGCCCCCTCAGGATGCACCTCTACCTGGTGACCTGCAGGGGACACTGTGATAGTAGTTCTGAAGGAAAAGGCCTTTGATTGGGGTTCAGAGATTATTATTATGTAAAAATAGTTAATAGGGCTTAATCTGTTATAATGTGTTAAAATAGGCTACTTTGAAAATCCATGGTGATTTAGTAAAAATGACTTAAATGCTGTATCTTGGATAAGAATCATTGTTTTTTTTTTAAAAAAATACCCTTGCACATCCACAAATATAAAAACAATAGAACTCTGGCAAAGGAGATAAAGTAACTGCAGAAATAGTAGTGCTGACTGATGCTTTAAGAATTATTGCAGACAGGGTTAAGAAGCTAATTTGAATTCCAACAGAGTCCTCCTTAGGATAAATTCCAAGACCAAAGTAAAAGTTTCAGCAGTGTCAGTTCAGCTAATCCTGAGAAGGCATTCAGATAGAAAATTCCAAGAGGCATTAGTTTGATCTGAGCTTGTATGGACAACTCTAGGTATAAGGTTGTTTCTGGTAGAAAATTAATTTCTATAGCTTCAGTGAATAATTTACGCTAGTTTAAATAATGAATAAGTGACTGGCTTGGGTTAAACAAAAAAAGCACCTGCCTCTGGGTGAGGTGGCTCACACCTGTAATCCCAACTACTAGAGTGGCTGAGGTGGGAGGATTAATTGAGCCCAGGAATTTAATGTTACAGTGAGTTATGATGGCACAACTGCACTTTAGTCTGGGCAACAGAGCAACGTGCTGTCACAAACAGACAAAAAGTATGTTATATATTTATATAATGAAATAAGAGAAAGTTCCCATAATCCTTCCATCCAAAGATATTACAGTGAATGGTTTGGCTTATATTCTTTCAGGTTTTTATCTATTCATATGTGTATTAATGTATATAGGTATTTGTGTATATTTTGATTATTATATTATATTACATTATATTTATTTATTTTTTTGAGAGATTCTCACTCTGTTGCCCAGGCTGGAGTGCAGTGGCACTATCTCAGCTCACTCCAGCCTCTACCTCCCGGGTTCAAGCGATTCTCCTGCCTCAGCCCCCAAGTAGCAGAGACTACAGGTGAGCACCATTCCCAGCTAATTTTTGTATTTTTAGTAGAGACGGGGTTTCGCCATACTGGCCAGGCTGGTCTTGAACTCCTGAGCTCAGGTAATCCTCCTGCCTTGGCCTCCCAAACTGCAGGGATTACAGGTGTGAGTGAAAATCATTTAAAAATCAAAATCTATTTTCACTTTTAAAAATACATATTATACTTTATTATTAATTTTTGTAATTTAAACTTATTAATGGGGTTCAGGACACACCACCCCAAAATAGGACTGTAGAATCCAGAATGTGCTATCCCAAATATGCCTCTTTGTCATAAGAATTATTTTGAGCTGGTTATTTTGAGAAACGACAGACATAGGAGCAGTTCTGGAAAGTTACCCTTTTGTAAGAGAAATTTAAAGCTATAAAGGAAATATCTATTTGTAAGTGTATCTCCCTCTCTGAATCAGGAAGAGAAGGACGACTAAATCTTTAGAGACTTAATCATTGGAAAAGGCATCACCTTAATCTGTATTAAAAAAACTTACCCTGGATTTATGATATCTTTCCTGGCCATGTCATTTTTTTTTTTTTTTTTTTGAGACTAGGTTTTGCTCTGTTGCCCAGCTTCTCACTACAGCCTCAGTCTCCTGGGTTCAAGTGATCCTCTCGCCTTGGCCTGCCAAAGTGTTGAGATTAGGTATTACAGTTGTGAGCCACTGTACCTGGCATTTTGGTTCTTAATTATTGAACTGCTGGGCATAGTTGGGCACAGCTAAGTGTTTCCTGGATTTTTTTTTCTTTCCCTAGGAAAATTCTCATCTCTTAAAGGGCAAAAATCTTGCTTTCCACTTTCCTTATGGTCATGAATTCACAGCTATTGACTGCCTGCTTTACATCAGGCACTGTGCTAGTTGCTGGAGGTACATTGAATAACAAAATAGAGATAGTGCCTGCCCTAATAGTATTTATAATCCAGTGGGGGAAAGGAAAATTACATACATCATCTCTCATATGATGACATAATTACGATTCTAATAAATACGTAGTAGGAAAAATAGAAAACTAGAAGCAAGGGTAACTGAGATACCCACTCCCCTATTGCTGGGATCAGAGAAAGTCTTCTCAAGGACCTGGATACTTGGGAAAAGGAAAAGAAGTGGGGAGGAGTGTTCTCAGTTAAAGGAACACCATGTGTGAACACCCTGAGGCAATTAGAAGATTCTAAAACCTGGAGTGTGAGAGGGAGGGAGGCAGGAGGTAAAAGCTGGCTAGTGAGAAGGGCCAGACCATGCTGGCTGTTGTAGCATAGGATTTTAGAATTTGTCTTTTTGGTTTTGAAACAAGGTTTCACTTTGTTGTCCAGGCTGTGGTGCAGTGGCACGATCATGGTTCGCTGCAGCCTCAACCTCCCTGGGTTCAGGTGTTTCTGCCCCTTCAGCCTCCTGAGCAGTTGGGACTACAAGCATGCAACACCACACCAGGCTAATTTTTGTAGCAATAGGATTTCGCCATGTTTCCCAGGCTGATCTCCAACTCCTGGGCTCCAGCAATCGTCCCACCTTAGCCTCCCAAAATGTTGGGATTACAGGTGTAAGCCAACACGCCGGGCCCAGAATTTATCTTAAAAGAGTGGAAACAGCCAGGTGCGGTGGCTCACACCTGTAATCTCAGCCCTTTGGGAGGCCAAGGCGAGTGGATCACCTGAGGTCAGGAGTTTGATACTAGCCTGGCCAATGTGGCAAAACCCTGTCTCTACTAAAAATACAAAAAATTAGCCGAGAGTGGTGGCAGGCATCTGTAATCCCAGCTACTTGGGAGGCTGAGGCAGGAGAGTCACTTGAACCCAGGAAGCAGAGGTTGCAGTGAGCCGAGATCGTGCCACTGCCCTCTAGCCTGGGAGACAGAGCAAGACTGTGTCTCAAAAAAAAAAAGAAAAAAAAAAGAAAAGAAAGAAAGAAAGAAAGAAAGAAAGAAAGAAAGAAAGAAAGAAAGAAAAAAAAGGCCATGCGTGGTGGCTCACGCCTGTAATCCCAGCACTTTGGGAGGCCGAGGTGGGCGGATCACAAGGTCAGGAGACTGAGACCATCCTGGCTAACATGGTGAAACCCTGTCTCTACTAAAAATACAAAAAATTACCTGGGTGTGGTGGCATGCACCTGTAGTCCCAGCTACTCAGGAGGCTGAGGCAAGAGAATTGCTTGAACCCAGGAGGTGGAGGTCGCAGCGAGCTGAGATCACGCCACTGCACTCCAGCCTGGGCGACAGAGCAAGACTCAATCTCAAAAAAAAAAAAAAAAAACAACATTGTGGAAATGGCCGGTGGCCCAGGCCTGTAATCCTAGCACTTTGGGAGGCCGAGGCCAGGAGTTGGAGACCAGCCTCACTAACATGGTGAAACCCCATCTCTATTAAAAATACAAAAATTAGCCAGGCATGGTGTCAGGCGCCTGTAATCCCAGCTACTCCAGAGGCTGAGGCACGAGAATCGCTTAAGCCTGGGAGGCAGAGGTTGCAGTGAGCTGAGATTGCACCACTGCATTCCAGCCTGGGCAACGGAGTGAGACTCTGTCTAAAAAAAAAAAAAATATATATATATATATATATATATATATATATATATATATATAAACATGTATATATATATATAAACATGTTTATATATATTTTTTATATATGTTGATATATATGTTTATATATAAATATTTTTAAAAATTATATATAATTTTTATAAATATATTTATATATATATTTTTAAAAATTATATATAATTTTTATAAGTATATTTATATATAAATATGTATAAATTATATATAATTTTTATAAGTATATTTATATATAAATATATATAAATTATATATAAATATTTAAAAAATATATAAACATGTTTATACATTATATGTTTATATATATTTTATATATAGTTTTTATATTTTTATATATAAATATATATTTATGTTTTATATATAAACATATATAAAATATATAAACACATATATAATATGTATAAACATATATATAAAAAACATACTTAAAAAAATTAAATTTAATTATAAAAAGATACTGAATGGGCTGGATGTGGTGGCTCACGCCTGTAATCCCAGCACTTTGGGAGGCCGAGGTGGGAAGATCAGTTGAGGTCAGGAGTTCGAGACCAGCCTGGTCAACACAGTGAAACCCCATCTCTATTAAAAATACGAAAATTAGCCTGGTATGGTGGCACACTCCTGTAATCCCAGCTACTAGGGAGGCTGAGGCGGGAGAATTGCTTGAACCCAGGAGGCAGAGGTTGCTGTGAGCCAAGATCGCTCCACTGCACTCCAGACTGGGTGACAGAGCCAGACTCTGTCTAAAAAAAAGAATACTGAATGGATAGAAGCTAAAAATGCTACAAAACTCATCTAATTAGTTGCTGTCAATATTACATGTTTTTTTCGTTTTTTAAAAAATAATAATTGTATACATTCATGGGCTACGTAATGTTTTTTTTTTTTGGGGGGGACGGAGTCTCGCTCTTTTGCCCAGGCCGGAGTGCAGTGATGCAATCTTGGCTCACTGCAAGCTCCACCTCCCGGGTTCACGCCATTCTCCTGCCTCAGACTTCCGAGTAGCTGGGACTACAGGGGCCCGCCATCGCGCCCGGCTAATTTTTCGTATTTTTAGTAGAGACGGTATTTCACTGTGTTGGCCAGGATGGTCTCAATCTCCTGACCTCGTGATCTGCCCGCCTAACCTCTAAAAGTGCTGGGATTACAGGAGTGAGCCACGGCGCTCGGCCCTACATAATGTTTTAATACAAACAATGCATAGTGATCAGATCAGGGTAATTAGCATATTGGTAATTTCAAAGATTTATCATTTCTTTGTGTTGACAACATTTAATATTGTAAGAATTAAAGAAAGAGGAGAGAAACACAAAGGATGGCTTTTCAGTCAACAGGGGCAGGTTTATTTTAAATAAACCTGAGAAGGGCGGTTGGCTGAGTTAGGTCAGAGCCACACTCTCTAACAGACTAAGAGTTTCTAAAGATTCAGGATAGGAGAGTTTATAAGAGGCTTGGACTGCTTCTGTGTCTCTTTGTTGTGCTTATCTGGGAGGGACAGTTGCGTTTCTATTCCCATACACCTTTTTGCAGCTGCAGGCATATCCCCCAAGTCTGCTTTTAGCTTCTCTATCTTAGTATTCCTGAAGGGAAAGAAAAGTGCTTATTAAGGCCCACTGTCTTACTGGGGCCCATTGTATGAGGGTGAAGTTTGGCAGTTACCCAAGAGACTTTCTCCTCACCTCCCTCTGTTTCCAAGCGGTCTTATCTGTGTTTTACTGTCTGCTCTTTCTGGCTGCTTGTAGTTAGAAGAGAAGTGATTTCCTTGAAATGCATGAGGCTAGAAAGGGAGCTGGAACTTAAAGTGGTGGTGTTTGTCCGAGATGACGGTGCTCCTGCTCTAGCAAATATCCTGCCAGGCGTAGTGGCTCACGCCTGTAATCCCAGTACTTTGGGAGGCGGAGGCTGGGGGATCACCTGAGGTCAGGAGTTTGAGACCAGCCTGGACAACATGGTGAAACCCCATCTCTACTGAAAATACAAAAATTAGCTGGGCATGGTGGTGCACACCTGTAATCCCAGCTACTTGGGAGGCTGAGGCACTAAAATTGCTTGAACCGGGGATGTGGAGGTTGCAGTAAGCCAAGATTGCACCACTGCCCTCCAGCCTAAGTGACAGAGCAAAACTCCATCTTAAAACACACACACACACCCACACAAACACACACACACAGAGCAACATTCAATATCCTCTCTTCTAGCTATTTGAAACTATACAACGCATTATTGTTAATTATAAGCAACCTGCAATGCTGCAGAGCACTAGAACTTATCCTCCTATCTAGCTGTAATTTTGTATTCTTTAGCAAATCTCTACCTATCCTCCCCTTCCCAGTCTCTAATATCCTCTGGTTCCACATTTTACTTCTATTAGATCAACTTTTTTTAGCTTCCACATGTGAGTGAGAATATGCGGTATTTAACTTTCTGTTAAGATCATTTGCCTACTTTATAATCAGACGTTTTCTTGTTTTGTTTTTTGCTATTGAGATGTTTGAACTCTTTGTATCTTCTGGATATTAATCCCCTGTGGGATGAGTAGTCTGAAAATATTTTCTCTGATCCTGTAGGTTGTCTTTTCACTCTCTTGATTGTTTCCTCTGCCGTGCAGAAGATTTTTAGTTTGATATAATCCCATTTGTTTATTTTTGCTTCTGTTGTCTGTGCTTTTGAGGTCTTATTCGTAGAACCAAGCCTGGTGACATATTGATTTTGAACTTAGAGCTTCCAGAACTGTGAGAAAGTACATTTCTGTTTTTTAAGCCACCCAGTCTAATGTAACAATAATATATTTAGATACCTTTTAACTTCTCTCCCTGCCCCCACCAAATATCTAATGGTCAGAATAAATAATAACAGGGAAGACAAACATGTTTTGTTTTGTTTGAGAATGAGATGCACCTGATCACAGTGGATTTTAAGCTCTTTTTGTATATATACTAGGGAATGGCTGGATGTCTTTTTTCATAATTATTATACTAGGATCACATACTAGTTAGTAACTTCAAATAGGGCAGTCAGATAGGCTTCACGTGCCTCCTTCAAGCACCAAAAGCTATACTCTGGAAACTCCAAGATCAGTGTTAAAGTCCTACACAATTTCTCACACCAGATGCTGGATGAGACATTTGAAAAATAAAAGTTTAGTGAACTTCTAACAATGTCTGGTTTCAAGGAATGCCAGAGTGCCAGGCCTGTAGTGATAAGATTTCTTCACTCCCTGCTTGATTTGCAGGCAATCAGCTTAGAAAGAGCTGTGGTATAGAAAACTTGTTCCTTACCAGCCCCCTGCCTTTTGCCTGGAGCTCAGCAAGCTAGAGGTGGCATTGATACCAGAAAGAGATGGCTGAGCAGCTGCAAACACAACTGAGAGAGGATCTGGGCTATGTAAATTTTATTTCAAAATAAATTGCTACCTTCACAAAGTTGTGGAAAAGTTACTGCATTTAGATGTGACAATTAGGCTAGGTGCAGTGGCTTACACCCTAATCCTACCACTTCAGGAGGCCGGAGCAGGAAGATTGCTTGAGCATAGGAGTTAAGAGGCTACAGTGAGCTATGACTGTACCACTGTACTACAGCCTGGGCAATGGAGCAAAAACTTGTCTCTTGGAGAAAAAGAAGGAAAAGAAAAGAGGAGAGGAGAGAGAGAAAGAAAGAAGAGAGGGAAAGAAAGAAAAAGGAAAGAAAGAAAGAAAAAGGGAAGAAAGAAAAAGAGAGAGAGAGAAAGAAGGAAAAAAAGAAGGAAAATGGACTCTCTATGTCCTGTGGGTTCATGCTGAAAAGTTAAAAAACAATAAAATAAGGACAAATTCTTTGATAGCTGTTTAAAGAGACAGAGAGGAAATACATATAATGATCTTATATATTACTGTGTGTGGTAGTTTGTCTGCAAACATGGCCATCAACAATTTCTCCTACCCTATGCACTCATGCTGCTTCTCCCATCAAGTAGTCTATTTTCCCTTCCTTTTAACTGAGGTGGCCTGGTGACTTCCTTTAATCAATACAATGCATCCTGTGTGACTCTGCCACTTCCACACTTAGGCTTTAAGTGTTCTGGAAGCTTCCACCTTCAACATCTTTGAAGTCAGCCACTGTGCTGTACAAAAGCTCAGGCCAGACCACTGAATGATGAGAGCCATGTGGAGAGACACTCTAGAAGATGAGCTTCTCTGGAATGGTTTGGCCCCAGGTGTGCTTCGGGCTGAACATAGCCTCATGAGTGACTTCAAATACAACAAGTGGAGTGGAAGAACCACCCAGCTAAATTCAGTCAACCTACAGAATCAAGAGAAATAATAGATCATTGTTATTTTAAGCTACTAAATTTTAGAGTGATTTTTTTTTTATGAAGCAAGAGAAAACTAAAATATCTTGTGTAAATGTTTATTTTTATTTTTTTGAGACAGTCTTGCTCTGTCACCCAGGCTGAAATGCACTGGCACAATCTCAGCTCACTGCAACCTATACCTCCCAGGTCCAAGCAATTATCGTGCCTCAGCCTCCCGAGTAGCCAGCATTAAAGGCATGCACCCCCATGCCCAGCTCATTTTTGTATTTTTAGGCGAGTCAGGGTTTTGCCATGTTGGCCAGGCTGGTCTTAACTCCTGATGTCAAGTAATCTGCCAGGCTTGGCCTCTCAAAGTGCTGGGATTACAGGCGTGAGCCACTGCACCCAGACTAAATGTTTATGGTTTTTTTTTGTTGGTTTGTTTGTTTTTGAGATGGAGACGCGCTCTGCCACCCAGGCTGGAGTGCAATGGTGCGATCTCGGCTCACTGCAACCCCTGCCTCCCGGGTTCAAGTGATTCTTCTGTCTCCGCCTCCCCAGTAGCCGGGATTACAGGCACATGCTGCCACGCCCGGCTAATTTTTTGTATTTTTCAGCAGAGACGGGGTTTCACTGTGTTGCCCAGGCTGGTCGAGAACTCCTGAGCTCAGACGATCCACCCGCCTCAGCCTCCCAAAGTGCTAGGGTTACAGGCATGAGCCACCGTACCTGGCCATTTATGTATTTTTCAGTCTCCTGAGTGGCTAGACTATAGACATCCACCACTAGTCAGCTAATTAAAAAAATTTTTTTTTGTAGACATGGGGTCTTGGTGTGTTGCCCAGGCTGGTCTGGAACTCCTGGCTTCAAGTGATCCTCCCACCTTGGCCTCCCAAAGTTCTGGGTTTACAGGCATGGGCCACTGTGCCCAGCTATCTGCTGTTCTTAATCCATGAGACTGTGATGATAATTTGGGACATCTGGTCTCCAAAGAGAAAGAAGCTGGATGGCTCATGGCCTGACAATTGATGTAGCTTTACTGAATGCTTTACAGATACGGAAAGCTAAGAGTAATGCAAAACTACAAGGGCTGCATAGTATTCCATGGAGTATATGTACCACATTTTCTTTATCTAGTCTTCCATTGATGAGAGCATGTCCTTTGCAAGAATACGGATGGAGCTGGAGGCCATTATGTTACTGGTGGAAGGTATCTGAGTTACTGGTGGCAAATCTGTATGGGTCTGCAGCAACTTCAATTCTTACCTCCTCAGAAGAAAGAATTCAACTGAGAGGTATAAGGCAGAAAAGGAGACCGAAACAAATTTCAGAGCAGGAGTGGAAGTTTATTTAAAAGGCTTTAGAACAGGAAAGAAAGAAAAGGAGAGTAGGCTTGTAAGAGACCCAAGCAGGCACTGAGATCAAGTGTGGTGTTTAACCTTGACCCTGGAACTTTATAGGCTGGCTTTCCCATGACTCTTCCCTTAGGATGGGCTGCCTACACACACAGCGCCCTCCTTATCTTTGGGTGCACGTGTTTAGGAAGTTGTACACATGCCCATCTGAAGCTTTCTCCCCTTTTTTGGTGGTGTTTTCTTGGAGGGTCATACTCCACCATTTTGTCTCTTAATGCGCATGCCTGGGAAGTTGCTTCGCCCTGGTGTCTGTATTCAATTAACACCTTAGTGCAAAAGGTGTGGACCATCAGGAAATGGCCTCTCCCTGGCACCGGCTGCCAATGTATCACTTTTAGAGAGGTGATGTGATAATTACTGAACCATCATCCACATTCCTAGTGGGTTGGGGAGTCTTCTCCTGACCCCTGCTCATGCCTAACTACCTGTAACAATTATCCTTAGCAAACTAATCCAGGAACAGAAAACTGAATATGCATGTTTTCACTAACAAGTAGTAGCTAAATGACGAGAACACATGAACACAAAGAAAGGAACAACAGACACTGGTGTCTACAGGAGGGTGGAGGGTGGGAGGAGGGAGAGGATGAGGAAAAATAACTAATGGGTACTAGGCTTAATACCTGGGTGATGAAATAATCTGTACACCAAACCCCCATGACACAGACTTACCTATGTAACAAACCTGCACACGTATCCCTGAACTTAAAAATTAAAGTTTTTTATTTTACTTATTTATTTATTTTTTAGACAGAGTCTCGCTGTGTTGCCCAGGCTGGAGTGCAGTGGCGCAATCTTGGCACACTGCGAACCTTTACCTCCCAGGTTCAAGCGATTGTCCTGCCGCAGCCTCCCAAGTAGCTAGGACTACAGGCACCTGCCACCACGCCTGGCTATTTTTTTTTGTATTTTTAGTAGAGATGGGTTTCACTATGTTGGCCAGGCTGGTCTTGAACTCCTGACCTGGTGATCCACCCACCTCGGCCTCCCAAAGTGCTGAGATTACAGGTGTGAGCCACTGGGCCCGGCCTAAAATTAAAGTTAAAAACAAAACAAAACAAAAAACTATAAGGGCCAGACCCTTACTCAGGGTCTTTTATGGAACTTTCTCTGACTGGCCCCAAACCAACACTGCTATAGCCCAAGTCTCAGTCCCACTACTACTGTGTGTAGCGTTAAGATTCTCTACTCTCAGAGTCTAAGCCGAATGGCAGAAGACAAGATAAAGGAAAGGTTTTCCTTCCTCCTTCTAATGAAAGGTGCACTGCCCCACATTATTTTCTGTTCTAGAATCCGTCTCCCCTCAGGAGGACTGCCACACCTCCAAGGGAAGAACTGCACCATCACAGAGGGTGTGGTCTTGCCCTCCACAACTCTCTTAGACCAATTGCCTCAGAACCCATTGAACATTTCTCTTTCTTCTTTCTTTCTCTTTCTTTCTTTCTTTCTTTTCTTTCTTTCCTTCCTTCTTTCTTTCCTTCTTTCTTTCCTTTCCTTCTCTCTTTCTTTTCTTTCCTTTCTTCTTTCTTTTCTTTCTTTCTTCTTTCTCTGTCTCTCTCTCTCCCTTTCTCTCTCTTTTTTTTGACAGAGTCTTGCTCTGTCACCCAGGTTGGAGTGCAGTGGTGCTATCTTGGCTCACTGCAACTTCTGCCTCCCAGGCTCAAACGATTCTCGTGCCTCAACCTCCAGAGTAGCTGGGATTACAGGCACTCGCCACTATGCCCGGCTAATTTTTGTGTTTTTAGTATAGATGGGGTTTCTCCATGTTGGCCAGGCTGGTCTCGAACTCCTGGTCTCAAATGATCCACCCGCCCCAGACTCCCAACATGCTGGGATTACAGGTGTGAGCCACTGTACCCAGCCCCACTGAATATTTTGCTTAAATCTTTGGCACCCTTTAACAAGGTAATGGCATTTGATGCCCTTTTAAGTAAATTAATTAACAACACATTTACATCCCAACTAAAAGAAAGTACTAGAATATATGAATGAGGATTTTGTATAAGTAGCTGAATAGTGGGATTGGGAAGTAGTATAAATAGCACTCGGAAAATCAGGTTTTAGTATACCAGTAATATATATGTCTATAGAACCCCATTATAAACCTGTTACATTTTAGTGGGAAGTCATTAAAGCCTGCAAAAATGAGGAATGTACCCAATAGGCAGAACCGGAGACTATGATTTTAAAAACTATTTAATGTAGGCTGTGAAGAACTTTGCATTGTGAGAACTCCTTCCTTTCTTGCTCCCTGGCTATCTTGGTGGCTGCTCTTGACTGGGGGGCATCGCATCTCTAAGGCAGGAAGATGCTGGCTGCAGTGAAGATGAAAAAGTCACTAGAGTTGATAAACTCTAGGTTCCAACTCATTGTGAAAAGTGGATAGTACATGCTGGGATGCAAGCAGACTCTGAATATGATCAGACAAGGCAAAGCGAAATCAGTTGACCTCACCACAACTGCCCAGCTTTGAGGAAATATAAAATAAAGTACAATGCCACACTGGCCAAAACTGGTGTCCATCACCACAGTGGCAATAATTTGGAATTGGGCACAGGTTGGGGAAAATACTGCACACACTGGCTATCATTGACCCCATTCTGATATCATTAGTAGCATGCCAGAGCAGACTGGTGAAAAGTAAAACAAGCACAATTTTTCTTTTTCTTTTTTTCTTTTTCTTTTTTTTTTTGTCCAGGCTGGAGTGCAGTGGCATGTGATCTTGGATCACTGCAAGCCCTGCCTCCTAGGTTCAAGCAATTCTCTCTCCTGCCTCAGCCTCCCAAGTAGTTAGGATTATAGGCGCCTGCCACCATGCCCAGCTAAGTTTTGTATTTTTAATAGAGAAGAGGTTTCACCATGTTGGCCAGGCTAGTTTTGAACTCCTGACCTCAAGTGATCTGCCCGCCTCGGCCTCCCAAAGTGCTGGGATTACAGGCATCAGCCACCGTGCCCAGCCATCAAGCAAAATTTTTCTTTAATAAAACTTGCCTCAGCTTGTTTCAAACAAATATTTAACATAAAAGTGAAGTCATAATTTTTTAAGAAGAATAAACTATGGTACAAGTGGCCCAATTTCCAAAAATTAGACTCTTCCCCCAAACTTTTTTTCTTTATTAATCGGAGAAAGAAACCAGTGATATACCACTGGGCATATTTTGAAGGTTGCATATATGCTACAATATTGTCTCATGCATTTGGACTTTTCAGGTTTTTTTCTTAAGATGGTCATTTTTTTCTTCACTCATATATTTTTCATCCCTATTTCATTTTATTTATTTCTGAGATGGAGTCTCGCTTTGTCGCATTGGCTGGAGTGCAGTGGCACAATGATGGCTCACTGAAACTTTGAACTCCTAGGCTCAAGCAATCCTCTCACCTTGGCCTCCCAAAGTGCTGTGCTGGGATTACAGGTGTGATCTACTGCACCCGGCCTATTTATGTGTGTGTGTTTTTGTGTGTGCGTTTGAGACAGGGTCTTGCTCTGTTACCCAGGCGGGAGTGCAGTGGCACAATCATGACTCTGCACGGCCTCAACCTACCAGGATCCAGTGATCCTCCCATCTCAGCTTCCCAAGTAGCTGAGACCACAGGCATGTGGCACCACACCTGGCTAATAAAAAGATTTTTTTGTAGAGACAGAGTCTTCCTATGTTGCCTAAGCTCTATTTATGTTTTAAATTAATCTTTGCTCATTACTGTGGTGAGTTACTCTTCACAGAAATGCATCAGGAAATTGAAACAGACTTTTTTGTAATGTAAAAGTTGTGATTGGCTGGCTGGGGCTGGGGGCAGGGGCAGGGGCAGGAAGTGGAGAAGTACTGTGTGTCTGTTGTGTTTGTACACTATTTCATTTCATAACAAACCACTATTCTACTATATCAAAGTCATAGATTAAAAAATTTAGGCTCACAGAAGTTATTTGCTGAAGGCCATGCTCACTTCAGACCAGACACTTTGCATTCATTGTATTACATAATTTTGTCTCACTAAGGTCCTAAGAGATGCTGTACTTTTCCTGTTTAGGAAGAAACTGAGGCTTAATGCTTTCCTTCAACTCAAACTCACTGTTATCTGACTCTAAGGTCTGCACCTTCACCTGAGTTCACTGTGAGTGAACCTGTAGCCTGGGGACAGAGATCTTGTTACTGAAACATGAGTGGTTTGGTCTAGGTCCTGCTGCTTGCTGCATAGAAAGCCAATCACTGAAACGACGAGTATCACCAAGGAAGAAAGCTTTAGTCAGATGCTGCAGCCAAGGAGATGTGAGCTCAGTCTCAAGTCCATCTCCCTGACTACTAAAATGCCAGGTTTATATATCAGGGACGAAGTGTAACAATGTGTAAGAAAACAAGAACTGGGGAGGGGCAAGGAAGCAGTCACCTGGTGCCGTGATCTGGTGACTTTCAGTTCTTTGATACTTATATTTTGAGAGGCCTGAAGGACCTTTCCTGAGGAAGGAACTCTGATAAAATAAATATAACCTTCAAGCTGAGACCAGAAGGGTCAATTTCTGTGTTAATCAAAAAGAATAGTCTATGAGACTATTGGGCCAGTTTCAATCTTTTTTTTTTTTTTGGAGCAACATGCTGTTTTAATGAGCACTTGGGTGCAGGCGGGCTGAGGCCTAAAATGGTGTCAGCCCCAAGTGAAGATGAGGCAAAGATTTTATAAACAGGAAGTGTCCTAGTCTGACGTAACTGCTACGTCGTACCTGGATGGCCTCTTTCTTGAGCTTCAGGCGTACGTGACTTCCGGCTGGCTCTCTTCCTGCTTCTGCTGTCTTGCTGACACACGCTGCTGATGCAGGTGGCCTTGCGCCTTGGGACTGGGCCTGAGCAGGCAGGAGTCACTCATCCCCTTAGGCTTTCAGGCCCTGGGGAGAATCTTACATTCTTGTCTATTTGGTTATAGCAAAGGGAAAAGGAATGACTTTCTCAATAACTACTTCAGGCATGACATAGGGGGTGGCGTGGACACCTTGGAAAAAGAAAACCTTAATTTTTTGGGTATTCTTGAGAGATGGGTTGGTAGCCACCACGTCGTTCTAGCAGGAGCATTGTTTGGATTGTCTGGAAACACATCTGTGCCTGCAAGACAGTTATGTTGAGAGGACAAGGCGGTGTTGACAGGGAGAGGCATGGCCTCATTTGCTGCTTCACAAATGAAAGACCATGTCTGGATTAAGGAAGGGAGGTAATTCTTGAGTGGCTCAGAGTCTGGTAAGGGTGGAGGCCCCAAAACAAAAGTTTGGCCATACATGATTTCAAAGGGACTATAAAAAGAGGATGTCTTTGGTGTTGTGCAGAGTCTCATGAGGGCAAAAGGGAGATTTTTTTGTTCACGACTGGTGGGTGTCTAGAGCCAGCTTGGTGAGTTGGGCTTTAAGGACAGAGATAACTTTTTAAACTTTGCCTGAAGATTGAGGCCTGTAGGGTGTGTGGAGGACCCATTTTATACCTAAGGATGTAGAGACGCCTTGGGTAATTTGGCTGGTGAAGGCAGGTCCGTTATCGGACTGGATGGCTATTGGGAGTCCGAAACCGGGAATTATATGCATGATGAGAGTTTGTGTGACAATATTTGCACTTTCTGAAGTTTGTGAAGTTGTTGGGAATGCTTCTACCCACCCGGAGAAAGTACAGACAAAGACTAGAAGATAGCAGAGCTGTTTATCGGGTGGCATGTGAGTGAAGTCTACTTGCCAATCTTGCCCAGGTACCTGGCCCTGGGCTTGGTGGGTAGGAAAAGTCCGAGGCAGGAGGGAGCCCTGGGGTGACACTGAGTGGCAGATAGAGCAGGACTGGGTAATTTCTCAAACACGGCTGGAAAGGTGAGGACAAGTGAGAATAGGGCGGAGAAGTTGCAGGAGAGGTTTGTAACCAACATGGAAAGAGTTGTGGAGGCTTTGGAGGTGAGGAAGGCTTTGAGAGTGAGGAAGAATAAAGCTCCGTTTCTTGACATACCATGGTCCTTGCTTTTGAAGGTTTTGGGCCCGGAAGTCCTCCTTTTCTTCTGAGGAGTAAAGAGGAGAGAACAAGGATAGGGACAGAGCATGGCTGGGTTTAGATGGGAGCTGGTTAGCATGGTGATGTGGGGAGTTTCAATGAATAGAGCATACAGTTGGAGGAGCTGTGGGGCAGAGAAGAGACTTAGTACACTGCGGTGAGCCAGCATGTCTTTGATGTTATCGGTTGAATAAACTGTTAGGTTGGCATGGACAGAAAGTTTTAGGCTTTCAAGGCCTAAAAGGAGAGCAGCTGCCACCAATGCTCAGAGACAGGCAGGCCATCCGGGAACTGTGGCTTTAAGCTGTTTAGAGAGGTAGGCAACAACCTGGAGAGTGGGTCCCTTAGACTGGGTTAGAACGCCTAATGCAACTCCACGCCGTTCATCGCTATAGAGGGAGAAAGGTTTGGTGAGGTCTGGGAGAGTGAGGAGAGGGGCTGAGATGAGAGCCTTTTGGAGTAGATGGAAAGGTTGGGTAATAGGCTGTGCAGGGTTTGAAGGCCCATGGAGAGGGCCTTTAGTGGCTTGGCATAACGGTTTGGCAAGTAGAGCAAAGGAGGGAACCCAGAGTCTAAAATATCCTGCTAGTCCTAGAAAAGAGAGAATGTCTTGCTTAGTTTGTGGAGGCGGGAGGGACTGGAGGAGGGATACGTGGTCGGTTGTGAGCCCTCAGGTTAGCGGGGTAAGGGCTAGGCCTAGATAGTGAATGAGGGGGTGCATATTTGTGCTTTCTTAGGGGAGACCTGATACCCCTGTTCTGCCAAGAAGTTTAAAAGAGAGAGATACTATGGGCGTTGCAGTCTCTTTGGGAGGGGCTACACAGGAGCAGATCATTAACACATTGAAGGAGAGTGGACAGTTTTAGGGATAAGGTACAGAGGTCACAAGCAAGGGCCTGTCTGAAAAGGTGGGCGCTGTCTCTGAAACCTTGAGGTAGTACGCACCAGGTGAGTGGACGTGAAATGTGGGTGTCAGGGTTTTCCCACGTAAAGGCAAAGAGGTTTTGGGAATCAGGGTGTAAAGGAATTGTGAAAAAGCATCCTTTAAGTTTAGGACAGAAAAATGGGTGGTATTGGAGGGAACTGCGGAAAGTGAAGTACATGGGTTAGGAACTACTGGACATACTGGGAGTACAGCTTGGTTAATGAGCCTGAGGTCCTGGACTAAGTGATTAAGTTCCATCTGGCTCTTTAACAGGTAGAATTGGTGTGTTACAAGGGGAGTTTGTTGGGCAGAATAGATGACTGGTGAGGAGGTGAGAAATGATAGGCTTTAGGCATATGAGAGCTGCTTGGGGGATGGGATACTGCTTCTGTGATAGGAAATGGGTGGGCTGTTTAAGGGTAATGTGGACGGGGCTATGGTGTTCTGCGACTGAGGGTGTGGAAGTATCCCAAAAAGCGGGGTTAACTACGGATGGGGGATAAGAAAAGGTTGCATGTTTTAAGGTGGGAGGTTGGAGGAGTAGAAGAAAGTTAGAAGCCCCAGAGGGGTCTGGGTTGATGTGTTGGATACGATGGGGAACGTGGAAGTGGAGAGTATTGTGAAGTTTTGAAAGGATATCTCTGCCTAGGAGCGGAGATGGGCTCGAGGGCAGGACTAAGAAAGAGTGAGTGAAGGAAAAGGTGTTCAGGGAGCAGAAAAATGAAGTGGGGGGCTCGGGGTTTGGAGACTTCTCTATCAATTCCCACAACAGAGACTTGGGAGGACTGGATGGGTCTTGAAAAATTAGGTAAAGCAGAGTAGTAGGTTGCTCGGTATTAATTAAAAAAACATACTGGCCTACCCGCCACCATCAGGGTTACCCTTGGCTTGGATGAAGCGATGGTAGTTGCCGGGGTGTCCGTTCCAGGGCACCATCAGTCTTCAGCGGCTAGGCCAATGAGATCCGGGTAGGAGGTTCTGGCCAGCTCAGGAAGGGATGGGGCAGTCCTTGCGGGGGCTGCTCACAGTCCCACTGCCAGTGGGGTCCTCTGCAGAGGGGGCACGGCTTGGTGGTCTTACTTGGGTTTGGGCATTGTTTGGACAAGTGGCCTTCATTGCCGCACTTGAAACAGGTGCCAAGTGGAGGTGGATTGCTAGGAGGCTTCTGTGTGGAGCTGTGGCCTCGTGGGCCTGCAGGGCCTCTAATGGCAGAGGCAAGCATTTGAAACTCTGCGTGTTTTTGCCTTTTACTTTCCTCATCATGATTGTTAAAGACTTTGAAGGCTAAATTAAGAAGGTCTCGTTGTGGGGTTTGAGGGCTGTCGTCAAGTTTCTGAAGCTTGCACCAAATATCGGGGGTGGATTGGGAGATGAACCAAAGGTTTAAAATGGTGGTTCCTTCTGGGCTGACTGGGTCTAGGTTGGTATATTTTCTCATGGTTTCAGTTAAATGAGAGAGAAAAAGGGCTGGGTTTTTGTCAGGACCTTGGGTGATTTCTGAAAGTTTTTCATAGTTTACTGCTTTATGGGAACCCTTTTTGAGTCCTGCAAGAAGACACACAATCATGTGGTCTTGATGGCGGCATCCAGAGGCCCCCGTTTTGATAATCCCAGTGGGGGTCCTGGTTGGGGACCCCCTTTGCACCAGTAGGCTGGGCAGGAGCTTGGTGATGAATTGTATCAGCGTATACCTGAGCTAGGGTCCAGATATGGTCCCAGTCTTCTGGGGTGAGGGTGGAAGAGAGGATAATGTAGAGGTCATGCCAGGTTAGTTCATAAGACTGCATAAGGTACTGAAACTCCCAAATATAAGAGGTCGGGTCTTCTGAAAATGAACTGAGTCTTTTGTTAATTTGAGAGAGATCAGTGAGGGAGAAGGGAACATGAACTCTAACAATACCTTCAGTTCCTGCTACTTCCTGAAGGGGGCACTCTAGCACAGGAGCTGAAGTAAGAATGGGGCATGGGCCAAAGATGGCGCCTGAGCCAGTATGGGCAGGAGAGAAGGAAGAACTTGGAAGTGGTTCCTGCTGAGGGTTTGAAGGGGGAAGGGGAGTTAACAGGCAGTGGAGGATAGATAGGGGCGTAAGGTGGTGGAATGGGTTTACAAACCTCAGGAGAGGGCAGTAGAGGAGGAGAATGGGTACAGGCAATACTAGAATTGCCCTGAGGAGGGGATGGTGTAGGAAAAGAAGTGGATACAGCTGACTGGGAAGATGGTGGCTGGGAAGATGATCACTGGGAAGACGTTGGCTGGGAAAATGGCAGCTGGGAAGATGGCGGCTGAGAAGATAACAAGGAGGCTTGGGGGGTTAAAGAAGATGATTGAGAGGAAGGGGTAGGGGCTGGGAGGGGTGAACAGCAGTCAGCTAGATTGAACGAGGGAAAAAGAGGTAGGGTCGGGAGGAGAAAGGCTATCAGGGCGGTGAGAATGGAGGAGAAGGATTTGAACAGATAAGCAAGAATTGCAGAGGTCAGGTTGTGAGCTGAATGCAAAAAGGCCTGGACATAAGGAATTTCTCCCCATTTCTCCAGACGTTGGCAATAATTGCTTAAGTCAGTTAAAACTGTAAACTCGAATGTTCCATTGTGGGCCATTTGGAGAGGCAGCCTAGAGGGTTGTTTTTTGGAATGTAGGACCAGGAGTTTCCCATAACTGAGGGTAGGCTCGGGAGAACAGGGAAAAGTAGACCATCCTGGACAGCCGGAGGGAGACAATGAAAGGAGCAATCATCACCGCTGCCTTTTTCGTTTGGGAACAGGATCAAATGGCTTAGAGGTGTCCCCCTAAGACCAGATGATCAGCAAGTGCCTGGCACACATGGGAGCCTTCTTGGACCAATGTTGGATTTTCGTACCGGAGAAACCAAGAGAAGCCGTGCAGATTTTCCCCTGTAAACCAAACCAGGCTCCCGGGGAAACTTACCAGTAGGCGAGTCCAGTGATGGATGTGCATGCACAGAGAGGTGACTGGAGGCTGAGGAGCTTCCTTTGTCTGGCTACTGTGGCCTGCTTTCTGGGGTGGAGGGGTAGGTCCATAGGGGATGCAGACCTGAACCCCTCCCGGGTTTCGGCACCAGATGTAAGAGTCTTGTATCGGTCTGAACCCTGAGAGCGAGCTGACAGACAATATGGGGCGGTGTGGAGCAACATGCTGTTTTAATGAGCGCCTGGGTACAGGCAGGCTCAGGCCTAAAATGGCGTTAGCGGGCCAGTTTCAATCTTAAGCACATTGTTGACAAATAGACCACTTTCCAATTTAGGGCAGCACTATTTGCAGCTCTCTACCTTATGACCTCTTACTACAAATAAGACTTATGCAGTGATGATCAAAACTTGGGGAAAGGGTTGCCTGAGCTGAAAGAGAAAACTAAAATATATTTTGGAATCTCATTTTGAGTCAATTGTGAACTGTTTCTTTGTTGTGGGAAATCATGTGAATGGACCCTTTAATTGCACAAATGTAAAGCAAGCACTTATCCTTCATTTTTAGGAGGAAACTGAAAGAAAAGATTGTAGATGTTTTAGACATAAGTGGTGGGCAGTGCCAATTTTAAGTAATTGTGTATGGTTAAATGATTACTGTGCCCTGGGACTCATTTACTTCTGTGTTGAAAGATGTTTCTTGACTTTATTTACACCTGATGAGTGTGGTACAGCAAAGTAGACCTTCCCTTGGGAAGATAGGTGTGAGCTTACTCAAGAATTGCTTTAGTCTGGACAACATAGTAAGACCCTGTCTCTGCAAATTATTTATTTATTCATTGATTTATTTTATTTTATTTCTTTTTTTGAGACAGTCTCACTCTGTTGCCCAGGCTGCCGTGCAGTGGCGCCATCTCTGCTCATTACACCCTCCTCCTCCCAGGTTCAAGCAATTCTCCTGCCTCAGCCTCCCAAGTAGCTGGGATTACAGGTGCCTGGCACTGTACCTAGCTAATTTTTGTTTCGTTTTGTTTTTTTTGAGGCGGAGCTTCCCTCTGTTGCCCAGGCTGGAGTGCAGTGTTGCAATCTCGGCTCACTGCAAACTCCACCTCCCGGGTTCAAGTGATTCTCCTGCCTCAGCCTCCCACATAGCTGAGATTACAGGTGCCTACCACCACACCTGGCTAATTTTTGTAGTTTTTAGTAGAGATGAGGTTTCACCATGTTGGCCAGGCTGGTCACAAACTCCTGACCTCAAGTGATCTGCCCGCCTTGGCCTCCCAAAGTGCTGGGATTACAAGCATGAGCCACCATACCCAGCCTATTTTTGTATGTTTAGTAGAGATGGAGTTTCATCACGTTGGCCATCACTGGCCAGGGTGGTCTCGAACTCCTGACCTCAGGTGATCTGCCCACCTCAGCCTCCCAAAGTGTTGGGATTACAGGCATGAGCCACCATGCCCGGCCTACAAATTATTTTAAAAATAGCTGGGCATAGTGGCACACACCTGTAGTCCCAGCTATTCAGGAGGCTGAGGCAGGAGGATTGCTTGAGCCCAGGAGGTTGAGGCTGCAGTGAGCCATGATCTTGCTACTGCACTCCAGCCTGTGTGACACAGTGAGACCCAGTTGGAAAAAGAAAAAGAAAAAAAAGAATTGCTTGCCGAAGATCAGAGATTTTGTCCTAGAGTCTTTACCTTCGACCAGGAGAGCAGTAAGGAGGGATGAGACTGGGCTTGGCATAACCCAACCTATGCTGGATTGTTGATAACTTACACATGACTATAAGACTGAGTAAATCACAATACAGTGATGCTTGCTTTAGAAATGACGGCTCTAACAGCAGAGTGGAAAATAGTTTGAAAGATGCAAAAGTGGATTCCTTCTAGGTTACTCTGTATTTATAGTCCTTTCTTCACCAGGCATGGGATCATTTTATTCATTAACCTCCTAAGATTCATCATCATATCTGGGATATATATAATATATTATGCCTTCCACATTTGCCTATGGAATAAATGGACTTTTTCATTAGGAGATTACTAATAAAGTAATTATATGTATGGAGTAAGACATCCCCAGATTGTCAGAATTTGAAAATAAGAATATTCTTTGAGAATGAGAATAATATATATATTTATTTATTGCCTATCATTTCCCCCCTCAATTGCTTATTCTGAACCAAGGGGATGATTGAAACTATGCATAATGTCATTTGTAGCAATAAATCCCATCACAAAAAAACTGGTAAATGTGGTCCTGAAGAGATGTGGGGAACACCCATGAAGCTGACCTGAGTAGATTTCCCAGATAAATGACTAAAAATATGACTAATATGAAAGTAAGTTGTGATATCACTGGTTATTGTAATCTGTTTAACGAAGGAAGACAGGGAGTCCAGGTGAATCGGGAACACAGGGAGACACCAGAGAGCCCCACCTGGACTGTGTGCAGGTCACCTGGCCAACAGAGGCACTGCATGTTGGTCACTCATCCTTCAGCCACACAACAGTGGCCTCATTTCAGGCTTTTCCTGGCCTGGATAAAAAAGCCCTCAACAGTATACTGCTCTCTCACTCTCATTTCTTCTGACGATGAGTTTGGACTTCCATCCCTCTGACATAGTGAAGGAGGAGGCATTATACTTCAAAGATGTTCTAGTTACTAGAAAAATACATACAGCACAGTACAAGGCATTCTGACTTATAACTCAGTCTCCTGTGAATTTGATTATTATGAACTGGCCACAAGATTTTTGATGAAATCATGGTTTTGATCTTAAAATTTAAGAGCCACGGTCGGGTGTGGTGGCTCATGCTGGTAATCCCAGCACTTTGGGAGGCTGAGGTGGGCAGATCACCTGAGGTGGGCAGATCACCTGAGGTCAGAAGTTTGAGACCAGCCTGACCAACACGGTGAAAACTGGTCTCCACTAAAAATACAAAAATTAGCCAGGCATGGTGGCAGCTACCTGTAATCCCAGCTACTCAGGAGGCTGAGGCAGGAGAATTGCTTGAATCCGGGAGGCGGAGGTTGCAGTGAGCCATTGCACTCGAGCCTGGGCAACAAGAGCAAAACTCCGTCTGAAAAAAGAAAGCCACTTCATGTATATCAAAGGGAGATAATCACACTTAGGTAGTGCTGGGCCCCTGTTTTTGACATTCTGTCTTACTGTAACAACACAGGACTCCTACAAAAGGAACCTGTCTCATCAGGATAGCTCATTCCTAGGCAATCTTGCAGGATCTCTGCAAGAGATTTATATATTTGCATGGCCTTGGCTATAGGAATACTGGGGAGACTGGGTCACAGTATTATCCAGGTCTCTTGGTATTATCTAGATAGGAGAGGAGCTAGTAAGAAACTGCCCCAGCTGGGCGTGGTGTCTCATGCCTGTAATCCCAGCACTTTGGGAGGCTGAGGCGGGTGGATCACGAGGGCAAAAGATTGAGACCATCCTGGCCAACGTGGTGAAACCCTGTCTCTTCTAAAAATACAAAAATTAGCTGGGTGTGGTGGTGCGTGCCTGTAATCCCAGCTACTTGGGAGGCTCAGGCAGGAGAATCACTTGAACCCAGGAGGCGGAGGTTGCAGTGAGCCGAGGTCGTACCACTGCACTCCAGGCTGGCGACAGAGCAAGACTCTGTCTCAAAAAAAAAAAAAAAAAAAAAGAAAAAGAAAAGAAAAGAAACTGCCCCAGGCTGGTGGCTCATGTCTATAATCCCAGCACTTTGGGAGACTGAGGCAGGAGGATCACCTGAGGCCAGGAGTTTGAGAACAGCCTGGGCAACATGATGAAACCCTGTCTCTACTGAAAATACAAAATTAGCTGGGCATGGTGGTGCGCATCTGTGGTCCCAGCTACTCAGGAGGCTGAGGCCTGAGAATAACTTGAACCCAGGAGGCGGAAGTTGCAATGAGCCAAGACTGCATCACTGCACTCCAGCCTGGGCAACAGAGTAAGACTCTGCCTTAAAAAAAAAAAAAAAAAAAAGAAAAAGGAACTGCCCCTCAGGAGCACTTTTATAAAGTGTGTTAGTGTTCTCCAGAGAGCAGAACCAATAGAATATAGACAGATAGAGGGAATTTATTAGAGGACTTGGTTCATGTGATTATGGAAGCTGAGAAGTCCCACAACAGGCAGTTGTAAGCTGGAGATCCTGGGATGCTGGTAGTGTGGCTCAGTCCAAGTCTGACAGCCTCAGAACCAGGAAAGCTGATGTGTAATTCTCAGTTTGAGGCCAAAGACCTGAGCACATGCAGGGTTGCTGGTGTAAGTCTGAAGTTGCAAGGCCAAGTCTGGAGTTCTTATTTCCAAGGGCAGGAGGAGGAAAGTGTCCTCGCTTCAGGAGGGGAAAAAGAAAATCCTGCTTCTCTTCTTTTTTGTGCTATGTGGGCCCCCAGCCAACTGCTCATACTGAGGATGGATCTTTCCCACTCAGTCCACCAACTCACACGCCCATTCCCTCACAGACATGCCTGGAAGTAATGCTTTACCAGTTATCTGGCTATTTCTTAATCCAGTCAAGTTGACATCTAAAATTAACCATCAAAAGTCAATCCCCAGCCAGCCATGTTGGCTCACGCCTGTAATCCCAGCACTTTGGGAGATCCACTTTGGGTGGATCACTTGAGGTCAGGAGTTCAAGACCAGCCTGGCCAAAATGGTGAAACTTCATCTCTACTAAAAACACAAAATTCGCATGGTGTGGTGGCGCATGCCTGTAATCCCAGCTACTCAGAAGGCTGAGGCAGGAGAATCGCTTGAACCTTGGAGGCAGAGATGGCAGTGAGCCTAGATTGCACCATTGTACTCCAGGCTGGGCGACAGAGCGAGACTCCGTCTCAAAAATTAAAAAACAAAAAAGTTCACCCCTTGTCAGCTTGGCACCCACATGTATCTCCTTAAAACATACTTAATTTCCAAGTAAAGACAATAACAAGGTAATAATTCTGATTAACATGATAAAACTATCTTGTGTACAAACAAAAGTGCGTGTATCTCTTCCCTAGAAAAGGAAATAAAGTCCCTGGGTGATGTTTACTCTTTTCCTGATATCCTATAACTTAAATACTATGAAGTAAAATTAGCAATACTTAAATACTGACACAAAGTCAATGTACTTTATGTTATATGATAAAAGAATAAGAGAGGAACAAAAACAGGTCATTTGCTTAATATGTGTATATACACAAAAACATATTCTTTTTTTAAAGTTATTTATTTTTTATTTTGAGATAGGATCTCACTTTGTTGCCCAGGCTGGAGTGCAGTGGCAAAATCACAGCTCACTGCAGCCTCGATCTCCTGGGCTCAATCAGTCCTCCCACCTCAGCCTCCTGAGTAGTTGGGACTACACACATGCACCACCACACCCAGCTAATTTTTAAATCATTTGTAGAGATAAAGTCTCACTATGTTGCCCAGGTTAGTCTTGAACTCCTGGGCTCAAGCCATCCTCTTGCCTCGGCCTCCCAAAGTGCTGGGATTACAGGTATAAACCACAATGCCTATAAAAATATTTTTAACAAAATAGTGAGGAAATAATCATGACAATTATAGTCCTCAGTTCTGTAACTGGTCATGTGGTTATAGTTGGTATTTATAACCACCGTCTTCCAGTACACATTCTGTATTCCTTTTGCCTTCAGCAAGCACCTCACTTGGTTGTGGTTCCTTACCTGGCAGGGTGACCCAAACCTTTATTTCTGAAGGGTCTTGGCCAGTCATAATCCTGCCTGGATTGGGTTGTTGTAATTTCCCATTGACCTTAATCACAGGGTAAGGTAATACTAGTAGATGCCCTAAGGGATCTCCTATATTCCAGACACATGCTTCCTTACCACCATTGTGGAATAATAGTCCAATTTCCCCTTAGTAGTCTGGATCAGTCATCCCAGTCAACACTGTAACTCCCTTCTTAGCCTACTGACTCAGAAGCATGAGGAAACCAAAGTGGCTGGGTAGCAGTCTTAACTTTCAGTTCAATGAAGTCATTGTTGTGAATCTTGGTAGCAACATTCATCCCTCTGGAACTGAGACCTCTAGGCCAGCAGAGCACAAAGTTGCACAAACAGGAAGCAAGGATTTTGCTAGTTGGTCACTAGGGGTGATGGTGACTGGCGCCATTCCCATATCCCCCTTGATTCATTGATTCATGGACTCATAAATCCTGGCAATGGGATTAATAGTACCATATATTGAATGCTGATTCAGAGCACATACAGCCTTCTGGAGAACCTTGCCCCAGCCTTTCAAAGTATTGTCACCTAGCTGGCACCGTAACTGACTTTGAAAGGCCATTCCATCATTCTGTCAAGCCATATGCCTCAGGATATTAGGGAAGATGATAAGACCAGTGAATTCCAGGAACAAGAGCCCGCTGATTCACTTCTTTGGCTGTGGAGTGAGTTCCTTGGTCAGAAGCACTGCTGTGTGGAATACTATGATAGTGGATAAGGCATTCTGTATTTTTGTTTTTGTTTTTGAGATGGAGTTTCACTCTTGTCACCCAGACTGGAGTGCAGTAGAGCAATCTTGGCTTACTGCAACCTCTGCCACCTGGGTTCAAGCGATTCTCCTGCCTCAGCCTCCCGAGTAGCTGGGATTACAGGTGCACACCACCACTCTTGGCTAATTTTTGTATTTTTAGTAGAGATGGGGTTTCATCATGTTTGCCAGGCTGGTCTCAAACCCTTAACCTCAAGTGATCTGCCCACCTCGGCCTCCCGAAGTGCTGGGATTATAGGTGTGAGCCACTGCGCCCAGCCTGATAATGCATTCTGTAAGTACATGGATGGTAGTTTTGGCAGAAGCACTGTGTGCAGAGAAGGCACATCCATATCCAGAGCGTCTATTCCAGTAAAGATAAAATGCTGCCCCTTCCATGATGGAAGTGTCCCATGTAACTGGTTGACTACTCTGGGGAATGATGCCATATCAGGGGCTCAGTGCTGGTCTCTGCTGCTGGCATATTGGACACTCAGCAGTGGCTGTAGCCAGGCCCATCTTGGTGGGTGAAAGTCCATGATGCTGAGCCCAATCCATATTGTTCATCCCTCCCACCGTGGCCACTTTGTTCGTGAGCCCATTGGCCATTGACAGGGGTGACTAGGGTAAGAAGCCAATTGGTATCCACAGAACAGGTCATTCTAGCCACTTGATTACCAAAGTTTTCCTGTGCTGAAGTGACCCTTTGGTGAGCATTCACATGGGACACAAATATCTTCATGTCTTTTGCCCACTCAGAGAGGTCTAGCCAGTAACTCCTTCCCAAATTGCTTTGTCACCAGTTCTCTAATCATGTTCCTTTCATGTCCCTGACCATCCAGCCAAACCACTGGCTATAGCCCATGAATTGGTATACAACTGCTCATCTAAGAACATCCTCACAGATACATTCAGATGTAATGCTTTATCAGTTCTCTAGGTATTCTTTAATCCAGTCAAGTTGACATCTATCACCACAAAAAGGCAGATCAACAGGAAAATTTAAGAGGCTGAGACTTCAGTCCGTAGTAAGAAAAGAGATATTTTCCTTGATTCGTTTGACACATGTAGGTAAGTGAATCACCTGCTTTTTAAGGTCTTTTATAATAATCTCATAAGCTAGGTTTTCCTGGTTTCAAAAAACACTTCCTCTAGCTTCAAGTTCATCAGATTCAGAACCATATCACCATTCTCCTAGGATGCTCAAACAGGAGAATTCTCAGATCCCAGAGTTGTTGTTTATAAACTCTAACTTAATAAATATTAGGCTAGGCACAGTGGCTCATCCATGTAATTAATCTCAGTGCTTTGGGAGGCAGAGATGGGAGGATCACTTAAGCCCAGGGGTTCAAGGCTGCATTGAGTTATGATCACACCACTCACTCAACAGAGTGAGACCCTGTCTCTAAAAATCTTTTTTTTTTTTTTTTTTTGAGATGGAGTTTCACACTTTTGCCCAGGATGGAGTGCAGTGGTGCAATCTCGGCTCACTGCAACCTCCACCTCCCAGGTTCAGGCGATTCTCCTGCCTCAGCCTCCTGAGCAGCTGAGATTACAGGCACGCGCCACCACGCCTGGCTAATTTTTGTATTTTTATTATAGACAGGGTTTTACCATGTTGGCCAGGCTGTAAAAATCTTTTTTTAAAAAAGAAATATTGGATTTAAAGAATAGGTGTCAGCCATGTTGTAAGTGCAAATTTGGCAATATACAACTCTAAATGGTTACTCATGAGGCATGTGCTAATTGTAGGTCATCCTATTAATGAAAACCAAAACAAAAATTTTTCACAGGTGGCTTACAGGCCTTTGAGAGTGTGTCTGTGCCCCTCATGAGTTCCAGGGACCCCATTTTGAGAACCAATGAGAATTCTTTTCATAGGATTATTTACTCATGCATTGCATTTATATTGAGATCTTGCCCCAAATGTTATCAGTCTTCTAGTGAAAACAATATCTGATAGATTTAAATATAAGTAAAACAAAAAAGTTTTTGTTAAAATAACAATAAGAATAGTGGAAATAAGTGAAGCATAGGAATCATGCTAGGAAATTAGGGTCCTTGACACCATTACCTGTTTCAAACTCTGGTTTGATGGGGAGTGTTTTTCCTTCAGAACTCTAGGAAGAAGACACCAGGAGGGGATAAATAAGAGTAATGGTGGCTGGGCGTGGTGGCTCACACCTGTAATCCCAGCACTTTGGGAGGTGGATCATGAGGTCAGGAGTTCGAGACCAGCCTGGCCAACATAGTGAAACCCTGTCTCTACTAAAAATACAAAAATTATCCAGGCATGGTGGCATGTGCCTGTAATCCCAGCTACTTGGGAGGCTGAGGCAGAATTGCTTCAACCCGGGAGGCAGAGGTTGCAGTGAGCTGAGATCGAGCCACTGTACTCCAGCCTGGGGGACAGAGCAAGACTCCGTCTCAGAAAAAAAAAAGAGTAATGGTTGAGGCATTATGAATAATAGAAATGTGTTATAACAGCCATCACCGTAGTTGAAGAGATTTTATTTTTAACAGAGGCCAGGGTACATTGAAGCTAGTAATTAGTCAGCAAATTATTTTCTTTTTAATTGTTGCCATCAGCTAGTTGCTCTCTGCTCAAAGTGCAGAAATAAACTTTAGCACTTTATATTACAGGGTGGTGACAGCAGTCCATTAATTAAAGACAACTCTTGATTTGAACAGACTTTTAGCTTGTGAACTTGTAGAATAAAAGAGTTCAAGACTAATTCTGGGAAAAATTTGTTCTCTTTATCAATCTACTTATTTTTATCCTGCTTTAGTAAAGGGAGGGTATGCCTCTTAATAACATTTAAGAAACTGATAAGTTTCTAGTTTGGGCAGCCTGTCTAAATAGTTAATTCACAGCTGCATTTTGTTTTTTTTTTTTATCTAATTTTTAAGTTTTTTAGGCCAGGCATGGTGGCTCATGCCTGTAATCCCAGCACTTTGGGAGTATTGCTTGAGTTCAGGAGTTTGAGATCAGTGTGGGCAACATAGTGAAACTCTGTCTTTACAGAAATTTTTTTAAAATTAGCCAGGCATGGTGGCACGTGCCTGTAGTTCCAGCTACTTGGGAGGCTGATATGGGAGGATTGCTTGGGCCTGGGAGGTTGAGGCTACCATGAGCCGTGATCGCACCACTGCACTCCAGCCTGGGCGATGGGGCGAGACCTTGTCTAAAAAAAAAAAATAAATAAAAGATTTAAAGATTTTTATTTTCCCTGAACTGTTAATAATACTTTAAGGACCAAAGACAGAAAAGTCAATCTCTATGACTTTTCTAATCACGAATGTCTCTTGGTGGTGTGTGATTATACCATTAGAGATTTATAAATCATGCTCGATGTCACCAAATCATCAGGACATTATGTATATGCCTATGTGTATGTGTGCACGTGTGTGTGTAGATGTGGTTGCAATACTCTCTCTAAAGAGGTGAGAGCCTTACCCACTCAGGTAGGGTTAGAAGGCTAGATATTGTATCAGCATCTAGATAAAATGTTGCTATCATCCAGAAAATTCTAATATAAAGCCAAATTTAAAAAGCCTGTTAAAGGTTTTCATGGTTATAATAATAATAATAATTCTAAAATCAGAGAAATATTCTGGGTGGATATTATTGGGGATAATGTAGCTAAAACTTCCTGAGGAAGAAGCCTCTCCCTGAGTGAGTATTTTTTTTTAGTGGAAACTTTTAACAACATTTTTATCATCTTTCCATTTTATTCTCCTTCATCACCTTTCTTCACTTCCCAGAGGTGTCAAAGTCTATGGTGGAGTTTTTGGTCCTAGTATTATCCTGGCAACACAGGGTACTTGGCCCTCAAATTCCTTCTCTAATCTTTCCTTAAAAGAAAGAAGGAAAGAAGGAAAGAAAGAAGAAAAGAAAAGAAAGGAAGGAAGGAAAGAAAAGGAAAAACTTACTTCTTCATGGGAATCGGCTACTGGGGCTCAGAACACAATACCCCAAACTAAGGGCATGCTGAGTAATGGTTTTTTTTTGTTGTTGTTTTGAGACAGAGTCTCGCTCTGTTGTCCCAGCTGAAGTGAAATGGCATGATCTCGGCTCACTGTCACCTCTGCCTCCTGGGTTCAAGAGATTCTCTGCCTCAACCTCCCAAAGAACTGGGATTACAGGTGCCCACCACCACGCCCGGATAATTTTTGTATTTCTAGTAGAGACAGGATTTCACCATGTTGGCCAGGCTGATCTCAAACTCCTGACCTCAGGTGATCCACCCTCTTCGGCCTCCCAAGGTGCTGGGCTTACAGACATGAGCCACTGCGCCTGGCCAGCATGCTGAGTAATGTCTTGTCTTATCTTTTCTTTTCTTTTCTCTTTTCTTTTCTTTTCTTTTCTTTTTTTCTTTCTTTCTTTCTTTCTTTCTTTCTTTCTTTCTTTCTTTCTTTCTTTCTTTCTCTCTCTCTTCTGTCCCACACATACAACTCACTCTCTCTCTTTCTTTCTTTATCTCTTTCTCTTTCTCTCTCTTTCTCTCTCTCTCTTTCTTTTTTTTTTGACTGAGTCTCACTCTATTGCCCAGGCTGGAGTGCAGTGGCATGCTCCTGGCTCATTGCAACCTCTGTCTTCCAGGTTCAGCAATTCTCGTGCCTCAACCTCCCAAGTAACTGGGATTACAGGCGCTCTCCACCACGCCCGGCTAATTTTTGTATTTTTAGTAGAGATGGGATTTCACCATGTTGGCCAGGCTGGTCTCGAACTCCTGACCTCAAGTGATCCACCCACCTCGGCCTCCCAAAGGGCTGCAAAGTGCTGGGATTATAGGCATAAGCGACCTTGCCTGGCCCTCTTTCCTTTTTAGAGATAGGGTCTCGATCTGTTGCCCAGGCTGGAATGTGGTGGTGCAATCATGGCTGACTGCAGCCTTGAACTCTTGGGCCCAAGGGATCCTCCCATCCCAGACGTCCGAGTAGCTGGTACTATAGGCATGTGCCACCATGCCCAGCTAATTTTTAAATTTTTGTAGAGATGGGGTCTCACTAGTCCCAGGCTAGTCTGGAACTCCTGGTCTCAAGCAATCCTTCCATCTTGGCCTCCCAAAGTGTTGGGATTACAGGCATGAGCCACTGTGCCCAGCTCTGGCATTTTGAGTGCATTGAACTAAAGGATATTGGAAGGCCTCAGAAGCAAGGACTTTCTTTTTTTCTTTTTTTTTTTTTTTGAGATGGAGTTTTGCTCTCGTCGCCCACACTAGAGTGCAGTGGTGCGATCTCAGCTCACTGCAACCTCTGCCTCCTGGGTTCAGGTGATTCTCCCGCCTCAGTCTTCTGAGTAGCTGGGATTACAGGGGCCTGCCACTACACCTGGCTAATTTTTGTGTTTTTAGTAGAGAGAGGGTTTCTCCATGTTGGCCAGGCTGGTCTTGAACTCTCAACCTCAGGTGATCAGCCTGCCTCGGCCTCCCAAAGTGCTGGGATTACAGGCGTGAGCCACCATGCTCAGCCAGAAGCAAGGTCTTTCTGACTTTCCCCAATTCTCCTGTCTCCCCACTCTGCCTGTCTTTCTCCCCGGAAGCAATTCCTCTTTTCCAAGGTGGGTCATAGACACTAGAACCTCTCTGCCCCAAAGCAAGCCATAAAACCTAGAACATTCACTCTCTATTTCTTTGCCTTTCTTCCTTGAACACCATTATTCCAGAGGGATTCTGTGAGAGGCATTTGAACCAGAGCAACTCCATCTTGAATAGGGGCTAGGTAAAATGAGGCTGAGACTTATTTATGGACTGCATTCCCAGATGGTTAGGCATTCTAAGTCACAGGATGAGACAGAAGGTCAGCACAAGGTCGTGAAGACCTTGCTGATAAAACAGGTTGCAGTAAAGAAGCCGGCTAAAAGACACCAAAACCAGGATGGCAACAATAGTGAGCTCTGGTCATTCTCACTGCTACACTCCCACCAGCACCGTGACAATTTACAAATGACATGGCAACATCAGGAAGTTACCCTATATGGTCTGAAAAGGGGAGGCATGAATAATCCACTCCTTGTTTAGCATATCATCAAGAAATAACCATAAAAATGGGCAACCAGAAGCTCTCAGGGTTGCTGTGTCTATGGAGTTGCCATTCTTTTATTCCTTTACTTTCCTAATAACTTGCTTTCACTTTACGGACTCATCCTGAATTCTTTCTTGCATGAGATCCAGGAACCCTCTCTTGGGGTCTGGATCTGGACTCCTTTCCTGTAACAGTCCTGCCTTACCTGGGAGGAAAGAATGCTACACAGAGAGGCCAAGAAGAATCTGAATGGACAGGCCTTGCTGGGTGTCTGCCCTCAGTCTATTACCATTAGGCTATAGCCTTTTGTCCAATCACAGTTCTACATACCTGTCCATTCTTCATCGAAGTGAAGCATAAAAATAGACAGTTTTCCTTGGGGCTTGAGGTCTTCATTTCTGAAGGCGCCTATGTCGTGTTAAACTTTGATTAAATAAATTTGTCGTTCTTTTCTCTTGTTAACCTGTCTTTTGTTATAGGGCTGTTGGCTGTGACCCTGGTGATGAGTGAGGAAAGGTATCACACCTTTCCTTACGAATACTGAAAATCTAAAGCTTTGTAGTGTTGGGGTATTAGAAGTCCCAGGGGAAGAGGTTCTGATTAACTGGCACTAACTGAAGTTTATCAACAGTTAAATTCAAATGCCTACTGAAAGAGGCTGGACAGGTGATGAAAAGCAGAAAGTAAGCTGGGGTTAAGACACATTTTGATAAGTACTTAGGTACAAAGTACATGTCATTTTCTTCTTCTTCTTTTTTTTTTTTTTTGAGACAGAGTCTCACTCTGTCACCCAGGTTGAAGTGCAGTGCTGTGATCTCAGCTCACTGCAACCTCTGCTTCCCGGGTTCAAGCAATTCTCTTGCCTCAGCCTCCTTAGTAGCTGGGGTTACAGGTGCACCACATCTGGCTGATTTTTCTATTTTTAGTAGAGATTGGGTTTCATTGTGTTGGCCAGGCAGGTCTTGAACCCCTGACCTCAGGTGATCCACCCACCTCAGCCTCCCAAAGTGCTGGGATTACAGGTGTGAGCCACTGCTTGATATAAGAGATATGTCAATGCCAGGGTGATGACAAAAGACCGTGGAAGAGATGGAGAGGGGACACACTGAAGAGGTTACGTTCTGCAGACATGTGAGCTCAGGGTTGCCTGTGTTGGGGCTCAGGACCCACCACCCCAAAACATGACTATAGGAGACCAGACTATGACACCTCAAAATATACTTCTTTGGCATATTTCAAGCTGGTTATTCTAAGGAACTGCAGACACAGGAGTAGCTCTGAAAAGCTCTTGTTTTATAAAAGAAATTTAGATCTATAAACGAAATCTACATTAGTAAAAGTATCTATCAGGAAGCTCTGAAAAACTCATTTTATAAAAGAAATTTAGATCTATAAAGGAAATCTACATTAGTAAAAGTATCTGTATCAGGAAGAGGGCTACTTCAGATTACTTTTATTACCTGAGAGACTTCATCTGCATAACAAGATAGCTTTCGGCCGGGTGTGTTTGCTCATGCTTGTAATCCCAGCATTTTGGGAGGCTGAGGCAGCCAGATCACCTGATGTCAGGAGTTCAAGACTAGCCTGGCCAACGCAGTGAAACCCTGTCTCTACTAAAAATACAAAAATTAGCCAGGTGTGGTGGTGCACGCCTATAGTCCCAGTTACTTGGGAGGCTGAGGTGGGAGAATTGCTTGAACCCAGAAGGCAGAGGTTGCAGTGAGCTGAGATCGTGCCACTGAACTCCAGCCTGGGCGACAGAGCGAGACTCCATCTCAAAAACAAAAACAAACAAACAAACAAAACCCCCCAAAACAAGACAGCTTTTATCTACCATGCATTTCCTCCCCTCACCCTCTCATAACTTGTCTTTACCACACCCCAAAAGCTCCAAGCCCGTATTCCCTTCAGTAGCTCAGAGTGCTTTGAAAGCTTCAATCACCCAGCCCCTTTTCAAGTTCCATATTTTGTGGGACTCTTGTACATATATATGTAATTCAGTATGTTTTTTCTCCTGTTAATCTGCTTTATGTCAATTTAATTTATAGCCCAGCCAAAAGAGATATACGAGAACCGAGAAGGGTGGAGGGAAGTAATTTTTTTCCCTCTCTAACACCTGATTTTAGAATAATATAGGCATTTTAATTTTAGTGTCAATATTTTAATATGTGGGCAATCAATTCAAATTTTTAAAATGTATTTATTTACTTTTTTGAGACGAAGTCTCCCTCTGTCGCCCAAGCTGGAGTGCAGTGGTGTGATCTCAGCTCACTGCAGCCTCTGCCTTCCGGGTTCAAGTGATTATCCTGCCTCAGCCTACCAAGTAGCTGGCATTACAGGCACCCACCACCACGCCTGGCTAATTTTTGTATTTTTAGTAGAGATGGGGTTTCACCATGTTGGTCAGTCTGGTCTCGAACTCCTGACCTCAAGTGATCCACCTGCCTTGGCTTCCCAAAGTGCTGGGATTATAGGCATGAATCACTGAGCCTGGCCATTTATTTATTGAAACAGGGTGTTGCTCTGTTGCCCAGGCTGGTGTGTGGTGACATGATCATGGCTTACTGTGTAATCACCTAACAGGTTCTTCCTGTGGGCTGCACAGACAAAATCAATTCACTGTGACCATGACATTGTAGTAAGGAAAGAGTTTAATTGACATAAGGCTGGCCACACCACATAGGGAGATGGAGTTATTACTCAAATCAATCTCCCTGACAATTCAGAGGCTAGGGTCTTTCAGGGATAGTTTGGTGCACAGTGGGCTAAGGGAATGGGTGCTGCTGATTGGTTGGAGAAGCAATCATAGGGCTGTGGACAATGGTCCTTGCACACTGAGTCTGCTTCTGGGTAGGGGCTACAGGACCAGTTGAACTAAGAGTTGAGGGTCTGGGTGGAGCCATCTAGTTCTCAGAAATGCAAAAGTCTAAAGAGATGTCCCAAAAGGCCAATCTTAGGTTCTGAAATAGTGAATTGGAGAAGTTGCGAGTCTTGTGACCTCCAGAATAATGGCTGGTAATTGTTTAAGCCCACATTTTAGCAGAATTCGGGCCCCTGTCATCCTTCTAACCTGCTGGACTTTCTTTAGTTTTAGAAAGGCAGTTTAGTTTTGGGAAGGGTTACTATCATTTAAACTACAAATTTCTCCCAAAGTTAGCTTGGTGTGCACCCAAGAATAAGCAAGGATAGCTTGGAGGTTAGAAGCAAGATGGAGTCAACTATGTCAGATTTCTCTTACTGTCATAATTTTGCAATGGCAATTTTTCAACTGCACCCTCTATCTCCCAGGCTCAAGCAATCCTCTCACCCCAGCCTCCTGAGTAGTGGGGACTACAAGTGTATAACACTTGGCCTGGCTAATTTTTAAAATTTAGTTTTTGTAGAGATGGGGTCTCACTGTGTTGCCCAGGCTGGTCCAAACTCCTGGGCTCAAGCAATCTTCCCACCTCAGCCTCTCAAAGTGCTGGGATTGCAGGTGGGAAACACTGCCCAGCCAACTCAAAGTTTTTAGAGAACATTTTATGAGACCTTTGTAAAGGGCATCTGGCCTGTGGTTCTCTGGCTTGTGACTGCTGATTTACATATAACCAGTATATAAATGAGTTGGGAAGAGGAGAGCCTGGGCTTTCTCTTCAGAGGTTTCTCTTCACCTGTGTACCCACTCCTTCAAGCTTCATACTTGCCCCTGTGAGACCCTCCATTCAATTCAGCAAGTGTGTAATGACAACATCGTTTGCCCTGGGATGAAAATTCTCACCTCTAGCTCTCACTACTACTTTGAAGACTTGATATAGTAGGTTCAGGTATCAGATACTATGACAGTGGTTCCAATAAGACTAGATTAAGTCCCAGCACTTTGGGAGGGCAAGGCAGGCAGATCACCTGAGGTCAGGAGTTCAAGACCAGCCTGGCCAACATGGTGAAACCCAGTCTCTACTAAAAATACAAAAATTAACCAGATGTAGTGGCGTATGCCTGTAATCCCAGCTACTTGGGAGGCTGAGGCAGGAGAGTCGTTTGAACCCTCGAGGTGGAGCTTGCAGTGAGCTGAGACGGCGCAACTGCACTCAAGCCTGGGCAACAGAGCGAGTTTCTCTTTAAATAAATAAACAAACAAATAGATAAAGTTTAGCCTAAAGCTACCTCCTTACATATTTTAAGTTTGGCCTAAAGGTTTATCTGTACATAGCAAACTGGATGTGTAAATGGATGTGTAAACAGACTATAACCTACTCTTGTAGCAAGAGCAAGAAGCCAACTCTCAAGACAGCAGCCATACTTCAATCATTCACAGGTGGCCAGCTATTTAAGCAAGACAAACACTGAGCTGTAACCAATCCAGCTCTTTCTGTACCTCACTTGCATTTTCTGTGTGTCACTCTTTTTTCTGTCTATAAATCTTCGCTGACCAGACAGTAGTGCCAGGGTTGCTCTGAATCTATTTCTGGTTTTGGAAGGTGGGCTGTCTGACTCATGAATCATTCTTTGCTCAATTAAACTCTGTTTAATTTGTCTAAAGTTTTTAACAGTAGATCCAAGGATTAGGCTTTAAGCCTAAGAAAAGCCTAAGAAAAAGTTGGATGTATCAATCAATATTATCCTTGAAAAGTTCCCTAGAAATTCGCCATCATGGTGACCATTTTAGACGACCTCTCACCATGTTAGTTTTCCTTCTGAAACTGCCTTTTGCAAAAATTATGACAGTAAAAAAAAATCTGACATAGAAAAATTATGACAGTGAAAGAAATCTGACCTAACTGACTCCTTCTTGCCTTTAACCTCCAAGCTGCCCTTGTCCATTCCTGGGTGTAGGCCAAGCTAACTACAGGAGGAATTTAGCTTATCATTTAACTTTGAAACAAAGACGATAGCTGGGATAACAAAGGTTCAAGCGATTCTCCTACCTCATCCTCCTGAGTAGCTGGAATTACAGGTGCCTGCCACTATGCCTGGCTAAATTTTGTATTTTTAGTAGAGATTGTGTTTCACCATGTTGGCCAGGCTGCTCTCAAACTCCTGATCTCAGGTGATCCGCCCACCTTGACCTTCCAAAGTGCAGGGATTACAGGTGTGAGCCACCGCACCTGGCCTAAACTCTCTATTGCAATTCTCTTGTCTTAATAAATTGGCTTTATTTGGGCAGTGGGCAAGAAGAATCTGTTGGGCAGTTATGCTTCCATTATTGGAATAGATTCATTACTTCTTGGACTGAGCACAAATGAAGTACTTATGTGGCTTTTAGGGCTGAGCAGTTTGAAAATATAAACTATAGCTTTAAACACTAGGATTGCACTCCATGGAGAAAATGTTCACATTTTGAGAGACCTTCCCCCAGGAACTGAGAGTTCTAGAAGGAAAAGCACATTTATATTCCCCATTTCAAAAAGGTCTCCGAGTGGAATGACCACTATTTTAATTTTTGTTATTTACATTATTTTAGTCATATAATTTAATTCACATATGTTAAATAGGGCACAGGGTATTAGGCAATTCCACTGTAAATAATGTACCTCCAAGTGGCATTATTTTTTGTTGGATACTTACTTTCATGTAATCCAGCATTTTTCCAAGTGTAGCCCAGCTACTCCTGGAAGGCTTCGCCACCTTTCAGGGGGACTGGGCACTGTGGCTCATCCCTGTAATCCCAACATTTTGGGAAGTTGAGGCAGCAGGATTGCTTGAGCCTGGAAGTTCAATACCAGCCTGGGAATAAAGAAACTCCATTTGTACAGAAAAATTAAAAATTTAGCTGGGTATGGTGGTGTGCATCTGTAGTCCAGCTACTCTGGAGGCTGAAGTGGGAGGATCGTTTGAGACCAGTAGGTTAAGGCTGTAGTGAGCTGTGGTCATGCTACTGTGCTCCAGCCTGGGTGACAAAGTGAGACCCTGTCTGGAAAACAAAAATCTTTCAGAGGGTCCATGAGGTCAAAACTATCTTTTTTTTTTTTTAATACTGAGATGTTATTTTCCTTTTTTAGCCTCATTCTCTCATACATGGGATTTATTATATTTTTGATGCATCGAACTGGCCAGGATATAGTCTCCAGTTATTCAGGGGCTATAGTCCTCTAGTTACAATCTAGGTGTTACTGTGAAGTTATTTTATTGATATTGATATTTTACTGATAGCTTCTTGTGCCTTAGAATTTCAGTCAGCTCCATCTGATAGCCTGCCCTGTGTATTTCAGACTTGCCTTGCCTGTCCCCACAATTGCATAAATGATTGTTTACAGTAAATCTCTTAATACATATTTCCTTCTGTTCTGATTAAGATTTTGACTGATAGAGGCCAGGCATGGTGGCTCACACCTGTAATTCCAGCACTTTGGGAGGCCGAGGCAGGTGGATCACTTGAAGTCAGGAGTTCGAGACCAGCTTGGCCAACATGGTGAAACCCCGTCTCTACTAAAAATACAAAAATTAGCCGGCAGTGGTGGCACGCGCCTGTAATCCTAACTACTTGGGAGGCTGAGGCAGGTGGATCACTTGAAGTCAGGAGTTCGAGACCAGCTTGGCCAACATGGTGAAACCCCGTCTCTACTAAAAATACAAAAATTAGCCGGGAGTGGTGGCACGCGCCTGTAATCCTAACTACTTGGGAGGCTGAGGCATGAGAATAGTTTGAATCTGGGAGGTGGAGGTTGCAGTGAGTGGGCATCGTGCCACTGCATACCAGCCTAGGTGACAAAGTGAGATTCCATCTCAAAAAAAAAAAAAAAAAAAAAAAAAGATTTTGACTGATAGAAATTTTGGTAGTGGAAGTGGTTATAGAGAAACAGAATCATAAGAATGAGTTTTTGGAGTTGGTTTTCTAATCTGGTTAGTTTTGAAGGCACCAATGCCTCTATTTTCAGTGGTAAAGAGGGCACTGGTAGTCCACATTATGATATGGTAAGAGATATGCAAGGCATGGCCACTGGATACTTCTAATAAAATATCTACTGGAGGCAAGGTTCTGGGTGTCCAAGTATTTGCTTTTAGTCAAACTACGGAATATAATAAGATTGGCTGATTGTTCCTAACTTCACTGAGTAGTAGGAAAAGAAAAGGATGAGCTCAAGCCTTCAAATTCTCAGGTCATACTCCACATAAAAAACCTGAACGCTTCTATGTCTGTCCTGAAATAAACCCTCATCTCCTGTAGCCACATGGCAAAGATTTCTGAAAACCAACCCCCGAGTCTCCATCTGCCAAGGGCTGAATTAAATACAAAAGTGAGTCCTTGACTGAGAAGGAACAGGATCCTGGAATTTGGTATGGGAACAAGGCAGATCTTGATGAAGCTGAGGCTACAGAATCCCTAAGTTCTGATGCATCTCCTTTGCCAGTTGTAGCTGCTTTCCACCACTGCCTGAAGAAGTTAGCCCTCCTTTGCCTGAAGAATGTGTCATGGCCTTCCCTGAGGCATTTGCCTTGCTCATTCTCCTCAGGACCTGCCTCCATCACTCCTGTCTGGTTCTAGACTAGAACTAGACTCCAGTCCTAGCAGGTCATGAAAGGTGAGGTATACTATACTCCAAAATATGTCCTAGGAGAAAGTATACTGTACTCCAAAAGAACTGCTTTTTTTTTTTTTTTTGAGACAGTTTCTCGCTCTGTTGCCCAGGCTGGAGTGCAGTGGTGTGATCTCGGCTCATTGCAACCTCTGCCTTCTGGGTTTAAGTGATTCTCTGCCTCAGCCTCCCAAGTAGCTGGGACTACAGGCATGTGCCACCACGCCCGGCTAATTTTTGTATTTTAGTAGAGACGGGGTTACTCCTGTTGGTCAGGCTGGTCTCGAACTCCTGACCTCAGGTGATCCACCCACCTCGGCCTCCCAAAGTGCTGGGATTACAGGGGTGAGCCACTGTGCCTGGCCAAAGAACTGCATATTTTTTTGCAAAGTATGCTGAAAGAAATCTAGAGAATTGTGTGGGAATGACGTGAAGGAAGTGGGAGCATGTCATCCTGGTTCACAAGTAAAACTAGGAGCTTATGTAGGGCAGGTGATCAATGGAGTTTTATCTCAGGTCCATCTTATATTGGGCCCAGTGAATCTTTGAACCCATCCTGTGGTTATTTTCCCAGTCCTGGAATGCAAAATTGGAATAGACATACTCAGCAACTGGTAGGATCTCCATGATGGATCCCTGACCTGTGAAGTGAGGGATGTGGATGAGAACAGGAGACAGGTGTGTGTGTATGTGCGCTGGGGGAAGCACTGGGATGTGACCAAAGACCCAGAGAAGAAGAAACCCTGCATAAAACAGAAGGTGGGAAAGATTTTTTTTGGCATGTGATGAAAATTGGGTTGGATGCAGACTGTGGAATGCTTCCAGATCTAACCTAAGATGTTCAGTATTTCAGCTTTAACTTCTGGCTATTAGAGAGCGTTAAAGTAACTAAATATGGTCTGAGAAGGACTCTGTGCTTCTATATTTGAGTCCTTGTGGATGAACTGCAACCTAACTTAATAGGCAGACAAGATCGAAAAACCTAACTTAAGAGTATGCACCTGGCCAGCGTGGTGGCTCACACCTGTAACCCCAGCACTTTGGGAGGCTAAGGCAGGCAGATCACCTGAGGTCAGGAGTTTGAGACCAGCCTGACCAACATGGTGAAACCCCGTCTCTATCAAAAGTACAAAAATTAGCTGGGCGTGGTGGCGCCTGCCTGTAATCCCAGCTACCTGGGAGGCTGAGGCAGGAGAATCATTGGAACCTGGGAGGCGGAGGTTGCAGTGAGCTGAGATCATGCCACTGCACTCCACCCTGGGCAACAGAGCAAGACACCGTCTCTAAAAAAAAAAAAAAAAAAAAAAAAAAAGAGTATGTGCCTGTAACAATAGCTGAGTGTTGGCCAATCCCAGGAGTCATACTTTAACCACTCATAGACTGCTGAGTGTTCAAACTGTGTTCAAATAAGGCAAACACCAACCTGTAACCAATCTAGCTGTTCTGTTCCTGTACATCACTTTACTTTTTTTGTCTATAAATTGTTTCTGACCATGAGGCACCCCTGGAGTCTCTGTGAATCTGCTGTGATTCTGGGAGCTGCCCGATTCGTGAATTGTTCATTGCTCAATTAAACTCCTTTAAATTTAATTTGGCTGAAGTTTTTCTTTTACAGAAGTTGCTGCTGGCTTTAAACAAGGGTGTGTCAAGAAGTGAAATTCTGTGCAGGTGGAAAAGGGGTAGAATAACAGGCAGAAAGGTATGATGAATGCTGTAGCTTCTGATATCAAGCAATGAGTTCACAGTGGGAAAATTCATCTAATACACAAACCAAGGCAGGATATAATGAAAGCTCAAGAAATGTGTGAAATAAAACCAGAGAAAAGAAAGATTTTATAAAGATACTGGAGATAAGCAATGCAACTTGTCTGTTGAATAAAGTACTTCAAAAGTCTGCTTCACCCCCAGACTTCTGAGTTCTACCATACCTTTTAAATTGAACGAATAGTCTTTGTTTGGCTTCAGCTATGACGTATTATTTGCCATAGGCTTCTATTCATGACAATATTGACAACTGCTCAAAGTTTTTTAGCCTAAATTCTGTTCACATTGGCCACAATTGCTGTAAAAGCAGAGGCTTGAAGAAGACTTGAATAACACAATGAGTTAACAGGTAAGGGCAGCTGTTTGGAATCAATTATTTTTGCTTTGATATCCATACACTTAGCTGGACCTCAATGGGTTTTTTTTTTGCTTTTTATACAGGGTCTTCTTCTGTTGCCCAGGCTGGAGTGCAGTAGGGTACATGTCGTCAGGACCTCCTGAGGCTGTCATGAAAAAAAAAAAAAATATATATATATATATATATGTATACACACACACACATACACGTAGCCTATAATCCTAGCACTTTGGGAGGCCGAGGCAGGTGATCTCCCCGCTATGGATATGACCTTATTTGGAAAAAGGGTCTTTGCAGATTAAGGCAAGAAAAAGATGGAGAGTTTTTGCCCTTGCACCAGGCTGCCTGCTGATCTCTGCATAGAGCTTTGCATATATACAGTATGTATATATATACAGTATACTATATGTATATACACACTTATATATACACTATATATGTGTATATATACATACATACTATACATACAGTATATATACAATGTATGTATATATACTGTATGTATATACTGTATATATAGTATACGTGTGTACATATAATATATATAATATGTGTGTATTATATATGTATATATGTATATGTGTATATATACACACACTCCTGTATATATATATACATACACACCTGTACATACATATATATGTAGAGATCAGCTGTTTGTGTGTATATATATATACACACATATATATACATATGTGTATATATATGCATATATATACACATATATACACATATGTATGTATATATATGTGTACATATACACACAGGTGTGTAAGTGTATATATATACAGGTGTGTATATATATTCATAGTTACGGGTGTTAGGACTTGGACATATCTTTTGGGGAGGCATGTATATATATACATGCCTGGATTAATAGGTAAAAAAACAGGATTATGGATAAATTCATTACTAAGCATTGACTATCAACTACCATTTAATACATACTCTCCAATCCCAATAACAACCTCTGCAGGTAGGTGTTATTATCCTCATTTTACAGAGATGGTAATTATAACGGGTTGAATTGCACCTTCCCCAAAAGGTATGTCCAAGTCCTAACACCCCTAACTATGGATATGACCTTATTTGGAAAAAGGGTCTTTGCAGATTAAGTTTAATTCAGGGAAGAATCTCAAGATTAGATCATCCTGGATGAGGGTGGGCCCTAAATCCAGAATAATGTGTCTTTGTAAAAGAAAAGATGGGAAGAAGAGACAGGAAGGTCATGTGAAGACTGAGGCAGAGATGTGTGTGCTGCCACAAACCAAAGAATGCTGGGATCCACCAGAAGCTGGAAGATTCTCCTCTACAGTTTTTGGAGGGAGTGTGACCTTACAGACAGACACCTTGATTTCACACTTCTGGTCTCCAGAACTGAGAGAATCAATTTCTGTTGTGTTAAGTCCTTAAATTTGTGGTGATTTGTGAAGGCATCCCTAGGAAACAAATACAGTAAGTAAAGGGGGTCTTGACTTCAGGGACGGAGAAAGTAGGTTCCTACCTAGGTTTAAGTCTCAAGGAATGGAGGAGGGAGGAGAGGTGAGGAGAGTGAAAGAGAGACAAGGAGAGCGGCAAGTCGGGACCAACTTTCCCCGACTTGAGACAGGGTCAGGATCACCCTACATTTCTTCTCTTCCCTCACCCTCCTCCATCACTGCAAAGATGAGCCTTTGTTACCCTGGGGAGCCTGTGTTGGCTCTCCTGCCTTTTAGGCAAGAAAAAGATGAAGAGTTTTTGCCCTTGCACCAGGCTGCCTGCTGATCTCTGCATAGAGCTTTGTCATTTACCATGCAGTTTCATGCTCACAATCACTTTCAACCCTGAGAAGAACCCATCTTCCTGATGAGAAAGGTGAAGCACAGAAGCACTTGCTCAAACTTATATGTGTTCGTGCTGCTCTCAATCGAAGACTCCAAATTCCATTTTATTACCATTGCACCATACAGCTGTGGACGAATAATTCTTCCGTAACAGTTAAAACAAAACCAAACCAAAACCATTTTGTGGAGTTTGTTCATGAGCACCAAAAATCACTGGAGAGTGTGTGCACTCAGCACACGCAAAGTTGTGTGTATTATCTCCCTTGTGGGGTAAACTTTGGTACAAGGATTTAGCCTTCCTTAGTTATCTTGGTTTGAGGAAATAAAAGGAAAATAAGAGTTTTGCCTGAACATATGGTGTTAAATATGCCAATATAATATTTGAAGTTTTGCACTCAATATATATAGTGTTTGAAAGCAAGGACTTTGGGCAGCTTTCGGTAGTTGCGTTTTCCGTGTTTTTCTAAACTAGCCAACCTTACAGAGGTTTAATTTTGAGAAACCAAGCTCCTAACACTTCTTCATTCATAACCCTTTTTTTTTTTTTTTAGACTGAGTCTCACTCTGTCTCCCAGGCTGCAGTGCAGTGGCACGATCTCGGCTCACTGCAACCTCCTCCTCCCGGGTTCAAGTGATTCTCCTGCCTCAGCCTCCTGAGTAGCTGGGACTACAGGCGTGCGACACCACGCGGGGCTAATTTTTTTGTATTTTTAGTAGAGACGGGGGTTTCGCCATGTTGGCCAGGCTGGTGTTGAACTCCTAACCTCAGATGATCTGCCCGCCTCGCCTCCCAGAGTGCTGGGATTACAGGCGTGAGCCACCGCGCCCGGTCCATAACCTGGTTTTAATCATCAAGTTATAATTTTTTCCGTTCTTAGTGTGGGAGGGGGCTTGTGACAGCTACCTGGCAGTAAGTACTTAAGGCAGACATCTACATTCTTTACAGAGGGGCTTGTCACTTCGTTGGCTCCCCACTTCCTCCACACCCTGGGCAGGGACCATTTTCTCTGCAATATTTGCTATCAGCGCTGTTTCAATTCAGTTTGCTGGCCCTCTCAGTTTTTTTCCAGCTTGAAACAACACCTGAAAAGTACCTGTAAGAGATTTTGGTCGAATTCAGCGGCAATCTGGAAAATCCCTTCTCAAAATCCCTTCTGCTCATTCTTAAAAATAGTTCTGGTCTCTAAGAGAACAGCAATGTAGTAAATAACATACAGGGTTTTGCCCTTCGTTGCTCTGATAAGGGCTGGCGCGGTAGAAGCGCGGAGCCTGAACACCCAGGAGACACCTGTCAGCTTGGTGAATGAAGGCTTGCGCCGGCCTGGCATTTCTGCTACGCCTAAGCGCGGATAGTATTGGCTGAATGGTAGGGGAAGGTGTGGTTGGAATCTTCCCCCAGAAAGGGAGTGACAGATACTTAGCCGCAGGGTTTCTGTGCCAGGGAGATGGCGGCTCAGTGGGCTAGGCAACGCGTGGAGAGAGCTTCCTACTCTCGGGATAAGCAAGATTGAGCCCCACAGCTGTAGGCCATGTGGGGAAGGAGGTGTGGAAGCCAGAAGCGGCGTACACGGCTGCGTGGTGCGCTCTGCGTTTTCCTGTCCTTGGAAGCCCTTTCCAAGAGTTCGTTTTACACCCACACAAACAAGACCTCAAGCGTCCCAGATACGTCAGCAGTTCATTCTGCGGGTGAAGAAAATATTGACATTTTTCAGATGAAAACTCTCCTCCTGAAAGGACCTTTGCTGAGTGCTGGGGGAGGCGGGGCGCGGGGAAGAACGGAGACCGCCCAGGAGGCTGCGGCACTCCTGGGCTAAGTACTGCCAGGGAGCTCCCCCGTTGGGTGACGGAGGAGGTGGGGCGAGGGCAGCGCGCAGAAATAGGGCGCTGGGCGCCCGAGCGCAGCCAGCTTCCAGCACAGCCCGCGGCCCGGTGCCAGCTCCGCCGGCGACCGGTGTGCCAAAGTGCGGTGCTCCCGCAGGGAACCTGGCTCGGGGAGGGCCTCCGTGAGTCATCTGCTGAGTTGTCGCAATCGCCACCCAGAGGAAATCAGGCACCGGGCGGGGCGGGTTCCTGGCTGCGCTCGCGCGCTCTGCCCGCGCCGCGGTGTGCCTCCGCTTACCCGCAGCTCCGACCACTGGCTCGCGCTACCCAGGTCTCCGCACGCCGCGGTGGCTTCAGCCCAGACCTGGGCAGCCAGCGGAGAAAGAGTTAACTGGCAGGGGCGAGGAGGAGCCCAGGGAGGAAGGAAGGATATTGCCGTAATTCTGAAAGTTTTTTTCCTTCCTCTCTTCCCTTCGCAGAGGTGAGTGCCGGGCTCGGCGCTCTGCTCCTGGAGCTCCCGCGGGACTGCCTGGGGACAGGGACTGCTGTGGCGCTCGGCCCTCCACTGCGGACCTCTCCTGAGTGGGTGCGCCGAGTCATGGAGGGCGCAGAGCTGGCCGGGAAGATCCTTTCCACCTGGCTGACGCTGGTTCTCGGCTTCATCCTTTTACCTTCGGTCTTCGGAGTGTCTCTGGGCATCTCCGAGATCTACATGAAGATCCTAGTGAAAACTTTAGAGGTGAGTGCCGGGAGGGATGCAGCCAGCCCCACACCGCTGCGGGCTGAGAACCCGGGGGTCCAGTTCTCAAGGTCAGTGGTCGCGAGTCAGGGGTGTGTGTGCGCGCGTGTGCATGCGTGCGTGCATTTCTGTTCCTTGCCCGCAGCAGTGCGAAAGTCAGCATCTCGGCTTCTTTCGCGGAGCTGGAGGGATCTAGGCTGGAACCACTGGACCACTCTGTTGTTTCTCTGGTCGAAGGCGAAAAAATCATTCCACTCCCTGAGCATCGTTATTATTTTACTGATTAGAATAACAACAATGCGACCAACTTTTTGTATCAGAGGATTTGCTTATATCCATTATGCAGTGCAGTTTCCGCTTCACCCGCTTGTTTTTACAGCCCCAGGTTTCAGAGGTCCTTTTGTGTACTAAGGCATCCAGTTCAGAAAGGCATCATGTTCTTCTTTATGCCCAAGATAAGAGACCAATTGCTGGATGGCAGAAAGAAATCTTATTTTATTTTAGTGGAGTCATGGAAATTTTATCTAACCAACAGCACTTGAAATGCCATTGAAAAGGTATATATTCTTTGACCTCAGGTCTCCCTACCCTCCTGTTTCCAAATCCTGCAAAGAAAAATGTTAGATGGAAGTAGGCCTGGTAGAGAACAACTGCAGCTTACTCTTAGGGTTTTATTAAGTGTCAAAAGGCTGGGTAGGGTAGGGAGGGCAAGTGCCAACCCCCTTTTACAGAGAGGGAAACTGAGAGTCAGAGATCAGTGGTTTCTTTGAATTAAGTGTTAGAAGCAGGAGTCTTTTTTTAAAAAAAAATTTAATTATATGTATAATATGTGTGTGTGTGTGTGTGTGTGTGTGTGTGTGTGTATATTTAACATAAGAGACAGGGTCTTGCTATCTTGGCTAGGCTGGTCTTGAACTCCTGGCCTCAAGCAATCTTCCTGCCGTCACCTCCCAAAGTGCTGGGATTAAAGGTGTGAGCCCCACGCCTGGCCAGAAACAGGCATCTCAACTGAGAAGAGGCCCTGCAGCCTAGTGGTTAGGATTAGGGACCCTGGATACAGGTTTGCTTAGATTTGGTACCAAAATTGTAGCTCTGTTTCTCAAAATGTGACCTTAGGGAGGTCATCTACTCTTGTGCCTCATTTTCTGTATCTATAAAATAGGAGTAACAATAACTCCTATTTCCATAGGGTTGTTCAAATGAGTTAAAAGGTATCAAGCACCTTAGAAGGCTGCCTGCACCTACTGTATGAATGCTTGTTGCTATTAAAAGAATAATATGATTACTGAGATTCTGGCATTCCACAGTGCCTTCTAATAAGTTTGGTTCCCATTTTTGTGACCTGTTTTCTCTCTGCCCTTAGGACGTGGCTTTATCTGCTCTTCTTTCTCAGCTAATTGGGTGGCTCCCAGGTATACATCTCTAACCCACTGGACATTGTCTTGTACTTGCTAGCCTCCTGTATTGCCCTAGACTCTTGTTTGTGGCTATTTCTTTGCCTAGACTTTGAAGTTGTATGTGATTCTTCATCCTCAGTGCTCATGTTTTTAAAGTTCTACTGTTTCTACTTGGGAGCTATTTCTCAGTTTTGAACTCTTCTTATTGACTTTACATTCTGAGCTTGGTCACATTATGCTGTGAATTTCTTGACTGCTTCCTAATGTGAGATCTTCAGAATCCTCTCCCATAGCAGATGATCCTCTTCAGCTGGTGTTCCCTCTTTCTCTGAACTCTGAAATGATTGAACTGCTCTCTCATACAGCAATGTCTTTTGGAATTTATACCCTGTGTAAGAATGGTGTAAAGGTAAATCACACCCACTGGCTTCCAGGGGCTCACTTCTGTCTGTTTTTCTTTAGTAACTCAAGGTCAGCTAAGGACGGAGGCCAGCTAGTTGCTGTCAGCCTGGCAAATTATTATACCTGATAGGATGATCTCCAGTCCAGGATCTGACTTTCAGTTTGACAGGCCAGAGATTTTAATTTTTGTCCTTCTGGATAACTCCAGAGCTGAACTCCTTGTCAATCAAACTGACAAGAATGCCAGTTTTCTAATTCTGGTGGGAGAAACCAGATAACTTGGAAACCAGGTAGGTGACACATCAGGAACCCACCCTGTCTGCTGAGACTAAGTTATTAGGTCAAAGAGATGCTTGATATATGTGGAATTTGAATACAGATTCATTGTGTGAGCCAGCTCTGATTTGTTGGTTGCGGCTGCCTGGAACTCCTATGTTTGGGAGCATCTGAGCTCATCAGGAAAGAGAGCTGTGATCCCATAGTGATTTCTGCTTTAGGTGCAGGAGAACAGTAACCCAGGATCCTCTATCCTTCAACTAGAACAGTGTTAGATGTTTCAAAGACATTTCTGTTAGACTGGGGTTAATACGGTGGATTGCTTTTCTCAACTATAGGAATAATTCCTTAAGGGATTATGCTGATGTTTAGCATTAGAACATCTTCAGTGCTGGCCAAATACCCTGCCTTTCTGTAGATTGCATTCAAGGCCTAGCCCTTGTATCACTCCTTGGTAAATTCTTAATTGATTTAGTTGTATTTTTCTTTACATTTCATTCCCAAGAATATTCTTTGGGCTCTGATCATAATTGGATATTTCTCAAGTTTCTTTGCTTATAATTTATGTACCATTTAAAAAGATCATTTAGTTTTGTCTATTATATGTTTACTTTGACAAGTTTTACTGTCAATGGGTGACTTTCTCATGACAATAAACTCAAATTCTAGAAGTTGAAATGTGTGTAGGGTACCCTCTAAATTGCTGATTTTGGTAATTGTTACTTGTTAACTCACTGAACTTTATGCTCTTCTCTGACTCCTTCTTAACCCACTGGTTCAAGTAATTATCATTTATTGAGCACCTACTTCTATTTTCTTCTGCATTGCTGGGTATCTCTAGATGTATGCGTAAGTCACTGATATGGCAAGATACTTGAGGATAAGCCTTGAATACTTAGCTTGGAATAAGTTTAGTGATTCTCCAAGCCAGTGATTTTCAAGGGATATATGATAATTTGTTGGATACGTATGTTAATATTACAGCTTTATAGTCGAGAAAATTGTTTTAGGAATACAAATTATGAAGAGTAAAACTTGGCCAGGTGCGGTGGCTCACGCCTGTAATCCCAGCACTTTGGGAAGCCGAGGCAGGTGGATCACTTGAGATTAGGAATTTGAGACCGGCCTAGCCAACATGGTAAAACCCCATCTCTACTAAAAATACAAAAATTAGCCAAGCATGGTGGTGTGCACCTGTAATCCCAGCTGCTCAGGAGGCTGAGGCTGAGAATCACTTGAACCCGGGAGGCAGAGGCTACAGTGAGCCAAGATCACGCCACTGCGCTCTAGCCTGGGTGACAGAGCAAGACTCCATCTAAAAAAAAAAAAAAAAAAAAAAGAAATCAGACTTAAAGCCATTTCTTTTTGGTGAATTTTGGACAGCTACCTTTTTCCCTCCAAGAGGATTTGGAAATTAGGTGGAAAGAGAACTTGGTTGATAAGTATCTTTCAACTTTCCTTGGGGGGCAGAGAATGTGGGTTGTTAGAAGCCACTTTTGTACTTTAGGACCATTTCGCTGACAGAGCTGCCTCTTTTGTGATGCCTTGAGACAGATATGTTCTGAGATACCCCTGTAAGAGATTCAGAACATCTGAAAGAGATATTCTGTCTTTGTATTTGGGTGGATCTGATTGGCTAGAGAAGCTGGCATGGTAAAAGAGAAATAGCTATTTATGGGGAGAAGCACTGGACAGTCTGGAAAAAACTGGCCATTGCAGAGGCCTAAAATATGGAATATAGGGAAGAGGAGGCTACTTTGTGGCCTACTGTGTGGTAGGCAGCAGCTACATTATCTCTTTTGGCCTTTATGGCCACCCTTGGTATTGTCCCTGTTTTATTTTTATTTTATTTTATTTCTTTTTGTGAGACAGAGCCTCGCTCTGTCACCCAGGCTGGATGGAGTGCAGTGGCACAATCTTGGCTCACTGCAACCTCCCCCTCCCGGATTCAAGTGATTCTCCTGCCTCAGCCTCCTAAGTAGCTGGGATTACAGGCAGGAGCCACCATGCCTGGCTAATTTTTGTATTTTCAATAGAGATGGGGTTTCACTATGTTGGTCAGGCTGGTCTCCGACTCTTGTCCTCAAGCGATCTGCCCGCCTTGGCTTCCTAAAGTGCTGGGATTACAGGCATGAACCACCATGCCTGGCTTTGTCCCTGTTTTAGAGATGATGAAATGGATGCCCCAAGACGTTAAAGTCTCTTGTCTGATGTCTGAGATGATTACAGCCAGGAAGTGGCAGAATTGCAATTCAAATCTATATCTATCTAGCTGCAAGGCACAGGCATGTTTTTACTTTCACCGGGCATCAACCTGTAGAAGAAAAGGGTTTTCTAGTGCAAATTCCCTTAGGCACTAAATGTCTGCTTTTTCAACCTTAAACTTAAACTTTGCATATCTTTTTTTTTTTTGAGGCAGGGTCTCCCTGTCACCTAGCCTGGAGTGCAGTGTCATGATGACAGCTCACTGTAGCCTCGACCTCCTGAGCTCAAGCAATCCTCCTGAGTGGCTGGGCCCACAGACGTGTACCACCATGCCCAACTAATTTAAAACCTTTTTTTTTTTTTTTTTTTTGTAGAGACAAGGTTTCACCCTGATGCCCAGATTGGTTCGAACTCCTGGACTCAAGGGATTTTCCTGCCTTGGCCTCCCAAAGTATTGTGATTATAGGCATGAGCCACAGTGTCTGGCCTAAAATTTGCTTATCTTAACACAGTAATTGTGTTATGCAGGGTAGACCTTTAGAGCTATCATTTCAGGAGATGGAATGCATTCTGAAACTTGTCTGGTGCCAAAACATGGAGTGCTTTTGAGCAGATCATGCTATTTGAGGAATATCACTGTATTAGTTTGCTGGAGCTGCCATAACAAAGTACCACAGACTGGTGGCCTAAACAACAGAAATTTATTTTCTCAGTTCTTGTAGCTAGAGGTTCAAGATCTAGATGTCAGCAGGTTTAGCCTCATTCTGAGGCCTCTCTCCTAGGCTTGGATGTGGCCGCCTTCCAGCAAGAAGGTGTAGTAGTATCCTCACGTGGCCCTTTCTCTCTGTGCTCACATCCTTGTGTCTATTTGCATGTCCAAGTTTCCTCTTCTTACAAGGACATCAGTCAGATTGGATTAGGGCCCACCCTAAGGGCTTCTTTTTAACTTAGTCACTCTTTAAAGACCCTATCTAAATATAGTCACATTCTGAGGTACTGGGGGTTAGAGCTTCAACATATGAATTTCGGAGGGACATAATTCAGCCCATAACAGGCACGGAATACCAGCATTTTCCATCATATGAGCATGGAATAATGGTTCTAGTCTAAGATAACTACTATTTGTATAAAATATAAAATCACTTGCCCACAGTGAAAAAAAGTGAGTCTGAGATTAACAATGATTGTTTACAAAATTTTATTTTAATCATATCTGGTTTACTTACAAATGATAATAGGCACTAAAGCTTTAAGTAAAAAACTATGGAAACAGTTACCTCAGTTGAGAAAAGCTGAGTGGTATTAGTCCAGAGTTTGAGAACTCCTGCACTAAATCCGCAAAAGATAACAGGATGCAATCAGATTAAGACCGAGTCTTATGATTTAGTCACTTGTCACTGGAAGTTGGGAGATTGGCCTCTATTTATAGGCTGTTCTCTAAGTGCAAATGGCATGTTCTTGTTTGGCTCTGTGGGTTGTTTTGAAGGGGTCCTGACGTAGTCAGATATCATGCGTTACTCCCTGACCTTGATGTACGTTTTAGGTTATTTATTCTCTATCAGTTATGTTCTTATTTATTTGAAAAAAATTTTAACCTCTCTAGTCAACAGACTCTTTTGAGCTTAGCAATAACTGAGGTTTTTGACTTGGCATATTAATAAATCTGTCTCTGGGCTGGGTGCAGTGGGTCACACCTATAATCCCAGCACTTTGGGAGGCCGAGGCAGATGGCTCACCTGAGGTCAGCAGTTCGAGACCACACTGGACAACATAGTGAAACCCCATCTCTACTAAAAATACAAAAATTGGCTGGGCCTGGTGGTGGGTGCCTGTTGTCCCAGCTACTTGGGAGGCTGAGGCAGGAGAATCGCTTGAACCCTGGAGGTGGAGATTGCAGTGAGCCGAGATCATGCCATTGGACTCCAGCCTGGGTAACAAGAGCGAAAACTCCTTCTCAAAAAGTAAAATAAAATAAAATATAAAATGTTAGCTCACGCCTGTAATCCCAGCACTTTGGGAGGCTGAAGCCAGTAGATTGCTGAGCTCAGGAGTTTGAGTACAGTCTGGTCGACAAGGTGAAACCCGGTTTTTACAAAAAATACAAAAATTAGCTGGGAATGATGATGCGGGCCTGTGGTCCCAGCTAGTCAGGAGGCTGAGGTGGGAGGATTGCTTCAGCCTGGGAGGTCAAGGCAGCAGCAAGCCCCTGTCTCAAAAAAAAAAAATTTTGTCTCTGCCCCTTCAAGGGTGCTTATGTTCAATAATAATTATTACAGTACTTTTTAGTATAAAAGCCCTTGGGATTCTCTAGAATGAGAGACTTGAAAAGTTCACTAGCAGTTTTTGAACTATGATGTTAATAGTGAATAATTTGGGAAATGTGTAAAAAATGTATAAAGAAAAAAATAAAAAAATCACATCTGGGTACGTTTCTTTATACTCCTAGGTATATTCAAAACAAAGTGAGAGTTGTTTTCCAGTTCTTAAATTCCCTCAAATCTGTAGATCTTCATAATTGTAACATTTTCCTATGCATCTTCATAAGTAACCATGTGGACAGATCATTTTCCGTAGTTCATGATTTCTTTTTCATTCTTTTTTTTTGTTTTTTTGTTTTTTTGAGAGAGTCTCACTCTGTTGCCTAGACTGGAGTGCAGGTGCCCGATCTCTGCTCACTGCACCTTCTTCCTCCCTGGTTCAAGCAATTCTGTTTCAGCCTCCAGAGTAGCTAGGATTACAGGCATGCGTCACCATGCCTGGCTAATTTTTGTATTTTTAGTAGAGATGGGGTTTCGCCATGTTGGCCAGGCTAGTCTTGAACTCCTGACCTCAAGTGATCCACCCTCCTCGGCCTCCCAAAGTGCTGGGATTACAGGCATGAGCCAATCGTGCCTTAGTTAATGATTTCATCGAGTCCTTTCCAGCTTTCCAAGTCTGTGCTGCCTCTTTCTGCAAGCTTATTTCTGATGCATCTTTGAGCGTGTCCTACCCCTGAATGTCTAATTTGTTGTGAAAATAATTGTTACACTTTACGCCCTACGTTTAGGCCCTTACATGTGTCATCTTGTTTAATGTGACAGCAACCCTATGGGATAGGATCTATTATCCTTGTTTTACAATGAGGAAACGGAGGCCTATAGGGAATAAGTAATTTCAAACCCAGACATTCTTGATGCCGTGACCTGTACTCATGCCCCCCATGCTTCACAGCCTTTTCAAGGAGTAATTTATCAGGTCACCAATGCATGTGAGGCAGTTGAGAAAGGGTAAATATTGTCCTTTCCACATTTTATTAGGGTATTATCAGTAAGTGATATAAAAGTATACTTGGGACTTGGAATATTGCTATATCAGAGATTCCCTGGGGTTAGCTCTTTAGTTCAGACACTGCCAGAGCTTGATGTGTAATTTCACTTCTGTATAATCATGGTTGAAGTGTTTTATGTTGTGTCTGTGGGACAGTTTAAATTAATATTTCTTGTTTTTGAACAGTGGGCCACAATACGAATTGAAAAAGGAACCCCAAAGGAGTCGATTCTTAAAAACTCTGCTTCTGTTGGTGAGTTTTCCTTTTCATTATGATTGTTACCATATTTAAATTGGGTGGATGTAAACCTACCCAATTTGAACTTGAAATATGCAGAGAGCAGTGTGTTCTATAGGGTTTGGATCTTTCATAATTCTGTCAGTGTAAAATTGCAGCTGCCAGAGTTTTCATGGACTTTTTATTGTAAAGGTGGTAATATGTGTTAGCTCATCTATATGTTCTTATAGGTATTGTTTTCCTTTCTAAGGGCATGTATTTGAAGATGGCTGTCCGTGGTTTTAAAGATGTAGTCGATGGCCAAAAGAAAAAAAAAAAGAAAGAAAAAGGCTAATGGGAGTTCCTGGGAGTTAAAACCTATTATTGAGGTTTCGTTAACCAACTTGTGATTCTCAAAGTATGTTCCTCAAAGTACTCTTTTCTGCTGAAGGCTAATTGGTAATACATGAAATAAAAAATAATTTTCTCGTGAAATAAGTTTAGGAATCATCACATACTATACTTGCCTTTGGAGAGTATTAGTGCCTACTAATAAAGGCTCAGAAAAGTCCTGCAATAAAGAAACATGCTTGACCAGGTGCAGTGGCTCACGCCTATAATCCCAGCACTGTGGGAGGCTGAGGCCGGCAGATCGCTTGGGCTCAGGAGTTCAAGACCAGCCTGGGCAACATGGCGAAACCCTGTCTCTACAAAAAATACAAAAATTAGCTGAGTGTGGTGGTGCGCACCTGTAGTCCCAGCTACTCAGAGTGGGGTCCTGAGGTGGGAGGATCACTTGAACCCTGGAAGTTGAGGCTGTAGTGAGCTGTGATCATGCCACTGCACTCTGGCCTGGGCAATACAGTGAGACCTCATTTAAAAAAAAAAAAAAGTCAAACTATCAAATACTTTACTGGAAGGAATTTATCTTCTGGAAGCTTTTCTAAAAGGAATTGTAGAAATTGTATTCTATAGTGAGTTTTGGAAATAACAAAATATTTGAAAACATTGGAGTATTTTTGTATAATTGGATTATGATTTTCAAATGATTGAAGCAACTAGTAGAGCTTCATGGTGTATACTTAAACACCCAAATATTATCACCAATCACATTTTTACCAAGTCCGGATATTTCTGGCTATATTTTATCCTTTTTTTAATTGCCAGATACCTTCTCTGAAATATAGCAGCTCTATCATTTAAAAAAATTATTCTGGTTCATTAAAAAATGTATGTCCTTATGATTTAAGGAAAGAACAAACTTTGTTGCTGGTTTTCTGTTGTGCTTGGTGAGACTCTGAGCTGTTGATCTTGAGAGAAAATCAGTGGGCCTTAATAGATTGGGGTGATTGTGGTACATGTTTTGGGCCATGAATTTTAATTTAATTTAATTTTCTTATTTAAATTAAATTAAATTAATTAAATTTTCTGCTTTTGAGACAAAGTCTCCCTCTGTCCCCCAGGCTGGAGTGCGGTGGCGAGATGTCGGCTCACTGTAACCTCTGCCTCCCAGGTTCAAGTGATTTTCCTGTCTCAGCCTCCTGAGTAGCTGGGACTACAGGCGTGCGCCACCATGCCTGGCTAATTTTTGTATTTTTAGTAGAGAAGGGGTTTCACCATGTTGGCCAGGCTGGTCTCAAACTACTGACCTCAAGCGATCCTCCCACCTCGGCCTCCCAAAGTGCTGGGATTACAGGCATCAGCCATTGCACCCGGCCCAGCCATGAGTTTTAAAGGACACAAAGTATTTCAATTTGGCAGGTGATGGGATTAAAAAATCAGTAGATGAGAGGGTCTAGTAGCGTGGATTTAGTTTTTTTTTTTTTTTTGCCTATACAGAAATGAGAACTTTTTGAATATTTATACTTGTTGGATTACTATTTTTATTATAATCTTTGTCAAATATCTGCTTTTTCTGTTTTTGATCTTTGTCTTTTCTATGGTGTCTCCAGGAAAGAATGGAAGTGAACAGGAGGAGAAAATAGAAATCATAGTATTTTAGAGTAATGCTGATACCCGCAAAATTTGTCATATTTCATTCAGAGTGTCTACCCTTCCTTGTAGCCTGTTAAATTGGAAATTGACTCTCACAGTTATTGAACAACTGCAACATGTAGGGCTGACAAAGGATCCAAAGTTGATTAAGACATAGTCCCTGTGGGGAGATAGGCATTGGACAGACCACTGTGATAAATACTGAAATAGGTGCATAAGCAAAGGACAGTGTGAGATCTAATTTCGGCTCTGATATGTACTGCTTTCGTCTCTGCTAATCCCACAGCTGTGCATGGTATGCAACTTTGCTCCCCTCCTGATTTCGTGCTTGGGTATCCAGGGGTACTTAGTACCAGGGGTATTAAGTAAGGGGTGTGTGCCCTGTTGATACATACTAGTATTTGGAGTCATCTGAGAAGTAGTGTCACAATCCTAGACAGACTGATAGAGGGTGATGATGAAACATTGAGTACTTGTGTGCTTGGCTGGTGCAGTTTTTGGCCTTGAGAGCACCATGTCTCTGTACCAAAGTTTAGGCAAGGGTCACAGGCAGGCCAAGGACCCCAGGAGTGTGGGTACAATTTTGAGGTGTGTCTGAATGATATAGTCCTGAAAATAGATTTTGAGGAGCTGAGAGGGAGAGTTATGCTTATTTTCTGCACTGAAAAACTTCCTTCTACTGCTCTTTTTTTTTTTTTTTTTTTTTTTTGAGATGGAGTCTTGCTCTGTCACCCAGGCTGGAGTGCAGTGGCGGGATCTCGGCTCACTGCAAGCTCCGCCTCCCAGATTCACGCCATTCTCCTGCCTCAGCCTCCCGAGTAGCTGGGACTACAGGTGCCCGCCACCACGCCCAGCTAATTTTTTGTATTTTTAGTAGAGACGGGGTTTCACCGTGTTAGCCAGGATGGTCTCGATCTCCTGACCTTGTGATCTGCCCACCTCGGCCTCCCAAAGTGCTGGGATTACAGGCGTGAGCTACTGCGCCTGGCCTCTGCTGCTCTTTCATTTAGTGAAACACATTTTTTTTTTTGAAATGCATTTCAAGTCTCCCTTCCCAGTTAAATCCCTCTTGCATTGTATTTCTTCTGTGCTTTTATTGAATAAGCCAACTGAAAGCTGAGCCTAGGCAAATTATTATCTTTGTGGTTAAATAATTATCTTCTGTCTTTAGCCATATTCTGCTGTGTCTTTTATTTAAAAGCTATTTAATTTGTTGAACTTCAGATATGATTATGGGTAAATCTCGTTAAGAAGCTCTGTTATTGCACTTTCACCTTCCTCTTCTTCTTCCCTTTTTTTTTTTTTTTTTGAGATGGGGTCTGGCTGTATTGTGCCAAATTCCTGGCCTCAAGCAATCCTCCTGCCTCAGCCTCCCAAAGTGCTGGGATTACAGCCATAAGCCATAGTGCCGGGCCATATCTTACTCTTCTAAGCTTAAGGACTTTTCCTCATTGTTAACACAAAGAAAAAGGTAAATCTTTTTCCCCACTTCAAGTAACTCTGTTATTCTGAGCATTAAACTTCAGTGGAGGTTATAGTTACCCTTCTACCCTAGTTTTGTCCCCTGAAAGCAGAAGTGCTAGAGCCACAGCATAGAAGGCTAGGACAAGAAAATACAGGAATAATGGCTCGTTTGCTTCTTTTTATCAGCTGTGCTTTGGTTGCTCCAGCCATAGGACAAATGCATCTCCTTGGACCCTGGGACTTGGTCTGACTGAGATCCTAGCAACTTTTATTTTAGCCTGTTTTAAATATACAAAGGATCGTTTGACTTTTAAGAGGCACCAGCCTTACTCTTTGGGCATCTGATTTCCAGGGATTATGATGCTGTTAGGTTGGAGTTTGAATCGGCTCATAGCTTTGGTAGTAATTGTGATTAATATTAGTAATTATGTAATTTTAGTGACTCAAGATGAATTGTACTCTAATTGCATTATGACACTAGGACATTTTAAATGATTACCATGAAAAGTCACCAAGCATGAATAAAGGCCTGCATTTACCTGGGAGTGAGTCATAAACACCACAAATACATAAAGGCGGTGGCTTGTCATTTTGGCATTGTTCCCTTAGAGGCTGATGCTGGCGTGACTCAGCATTGTTGGCCACAAAGTGCATGCAACCACTGCAAGTCTTACCCCATGCCCTGCTCCAGCGGCACCACACACAAAGACTGTGGTCTCATGGCCTGCTGTTGATTTAGCCCCTGTGCTAAATTTCTCTCTGCCTTGTATCTCATGCCCCCAAGTCTCTGCCCCTTTGCCCACCTAAACACTCAAAAAGGAGAAGGTACTAAGGTGAAATTTCGGTTGCTATACCTATTTGGAGAGAATTCAGGTTGCCTAACATGGCCCTCTAATTTTACTTTGGGAATTTTTTTCTGTGAGGCAATTGACTACTTGAAATCCTGTATACATTGATTATATGAACATTAATAAAATCTTATACATTCACAGAAAATATGGGATCATATTTTGTGACAGAAGTTTGAGAAATATCAAGTCAGGTGGGATCATGCATGCCTGTACTCCCAGATACTTGAGAGGCTGAAGGGGGAGGACCTGGAGTTTGAGTGTAGCCAGGGCAAAATAGTGAGACCCATCTGAAAAAAAAAAAAAAGAAAATTGAGGAATATTTTTATATACTTATTTTGTTTTGGACAGGCCATTTTTGATAGTTTAAATTAGCTAACTTGATTTTATGGTGTAAACTCTGTGAATACAAACCAGTATGTGTTGCCCTCAAGAATATGAAGTGTAATGCATCTAATGGGGTTATCTTATTGCTAAAATACAGGAACTTGTCTAGCTACTTGTAGAGAGCAACATAATTCAGTTATGGGGTTGGAAGGATTATAGGTTGGGGCTTTCTTTTTTATTTTGCGTGTGTGTGTGTGTGTGTGTGTGTATGTATATATATATGAAATATTATGTATTAGTATGTGAAATATATATGATTAATACATAATATATATTATTATTATTTTTTTAAGACAGGGTCTCACTCTATCACCCAGGCTAGAGTGCAGTGGGGCAATCTTGGCTCACTGCAACCTCTGCCTCCCGGGTTCCAGCAATTCTCCTGCCTCAGCCTCCTGAGTAGCTGGAATTACAGGGTGTGCCACCACGCCTGGCTAATTTTTGTATATATTTATTATTATTATTATTGTTATTATTATTGAGATGGAGTCTGGCTCTGTTGCCCAGGCTGGAGTGCAGTGGTGTGATTTCGGCTCACTGAAACCTCTGCCTCCTGGGTTCAAGAGATTCTCCCACCTCAGTCTCCTAAGTATCTGGGATTACAGGCATGCACCACCAAACCTGGCTAATTTTTGTATTTTTAGTAGAGATGGGGTTTCACCATGTTGGCCAGGCTGGTCTCAAACTCCTGACCTCAAATGATCCACCTGCCTCAGCCTCCCAAAGTGTTGGGATTACAGGTGTGAGCCACCACGCCTAGCCCATTTTTTAATTTTTAAATAGAGATGAGGTCTCACTATGTTGCCCAGGATGGTCTTGAACTCCTCAGGATGGTCTTAAGTGATTCTCCTGCCTCGGCCCCCTAGGTGCTAGGATTGCAGGTGTGAGCCACCATGCCCAGCTGAGTTTTTCTTTTTCTTTTTTTTCAAATATATTTTAAAGAATTGAAAAAATATACAGCTAGGTTTCACCATGTTGCCCAGGCTGGTCTTGAACTCCTGGGCTCAAGCAATCCATCTGCATCCGTCTCCCAAAGTGCTGGGATTACAGCCATGAGCCCCCACACCCAGCTGAGTTTTTCTTTAGCATGGCCAAATGTCCCCCTGATTGCATTAGTCTATCCCTATTTGTGAATATTGTGTCTGATGATGATGATGATGATGATGATGACAATTTTCAGACATACACAAAAGTAGAGAAAATAGTAAATGAGCCCCATATCACGAGATTCAACATTTGTCGAGATTTTGCCATGCTTGATTCATTTATCAACGCTCTCATTTTTTTGGTAAAGTTTTAAAATTTAGATACAAAATCTCATGTCTTTTAATGCATAAAGGACTTTTTCAAATAACCACAATGCTATTATCCCTTTAGCAAACAATAATTTCTTAATATCATCTAATATATTGTCCATATTTAGATTTCCCTAACAGTCTCAAAATGTCTTTATAATTGATTTGTTTGAAATGAATTTCAGTCATGGTTCACAAAAACATTTATTTTTTAATTTTTTGCAGTGCTTTAAGTTGGAAATATGAAAGTTTTTTGTGGGGGCAGGGGTGCAGTTTTATTTCTTGGAACAAAAATTACTTAATAGCAACTGATTCTGATAAAACTCACTAGAGTACTGTGCATTTTAATCTTTACATCTTAACATAGCTCTGTAGAAGGCAAAAGTTTGATTGTTAGGTTAGTCATCTGTATTTCTTTTACGTACAATATTATAAAAATTTAGTTCAATCACTTTGGAGAGCAATTTGGCAATACTTAGGAAAGTTAAAGACCAGAAAATTACACGACAACCCAACAATTCTATATCTCCTAAAATATCAAATGTACCCAGAGCCTCAGCATATATGTATTAGGTGACTTGTTACAAGTGTTTACAACCAGTGAAAATGTGGAGACAATCCATCAGGAGGAAAGTTAATATGTAAGCTGATTTATTTATACTGTACAGCAGTTAAACTGAATTAACTGGACTTACATGGAAAGAAAAAGGAGATGAATTTCAAACCATATTGAGAGAAAAGAAAATATATAGTATAATAACATTTATTTAAAATTTAGAATCACAAATAGATACTATACATTTATGTGAATATATAATATATGCATGGAAATTATATATACTATAGGGCAGTATATTGCGCCTGGCTGGGACAGGTTATCTTCAGGAGGGAGAGCAAGAGGTGGTGAGGAGGGGCTTTAACTGTATTTATAATTTTTTTTCTTTAAAATATACCTGGGCTGGGCGCAGTGGCTCATGCCTGTAATCCCAGCACTTTGGGAGGCTGAGGCGGGCGGATCACGAGGTCAAGAAATCGAGACCATCCTGGCCAACATGGTGAAACCCGGTCTCTACTAAAAATACGAAAATTAACTGGGCGTGGTGGTGCGCCCCTATAGTCTCAGCTACTCAGGAGGCTGAGGCAGGAGAATCGCTTGAACCTGGGAGGCAGAGGTTGTAGTGAGCCGAGATTGCACCACTGCACTCCAGCCTGGGAGACAGAGTGAGACTCCATCTCGGAAAAAAAAAAAAAAAAAAAAATCTATCTATCTATCTATCTATCTATCTATCTATCTGAAGCAAATATGACAATGAGTATTTTTTTTCTTGTTAAACTCATCTTTGGGGGGTTACATTTATATTGTAAACATAAAAAAGAGAAAACCCCAACCAAATAAAACATCAGTAGTCATTCAGCTAATGTTTATTCTGACAGTTAGAACTAGTTATATATGAATGGAAGATAGGTACCTTCTTGGGATGTGATTTGATGGTTATCTGCTCCAAAACACAGCTCCATTCAGCCTGACCAGTGCCTGGAATTTAAACTGAAACCTATGGAACAAAGGAGTTTTTAATAAAAATACATTACCTCTTAGAGCTGGCTTTCTCAACCTCAGCACTACTGATACTTTGGATTGGGTAATTCTTTGTCGTGGGCAACAGTCCTGTACAATGTGAGATGTTCAGCAGCATCTCTGGCCTCTACCCAGTAGATGACAGACAGTAGCACACTCCCATTCGTGACAACCAACAATGTGTGCAGACATTGCCAGTTGTCCCCTGGGGGCACTTCTCTCTCCTTCCCTCACCCCACCCCTGCTCATTTGTGAATCACTGCTCCTAGAGAAGAATGCATTAGTGTATTGGTCCCCACTATCGTTAGCATGATTTTAGTTTTCTAACAAATAGGCCCTTGAAGGAGCAGAATTTGATGCTACAGTTTTTGGTGGTTGATTTGGGAAGAATGGAATGACAAAGTAAGGCATAGGTGGGGGTGCTTAGATGAGCAGCAGGATTAGCAGATGGTGGAAGAGGAGGCAGGTTCCTTAAGGAAAGGTAGAAAGCAGACAAAGAAATCTTCCTTCAAACTTTGCCTCATAATCTAACGAGAATATACTGGTCTATTTTGGAGGGAGCTTTACTTAAAGTGGATTAGAGACTGGCATATAACTGTGCTTTATGGACTGAATGTCTATGTCCCCCCCTTCCCAAATTGATATGTTGATATGTTGATCCTAACACCCAAAGTGATGGTATTAGGAGGTGGGGCCTTTGGGAGGTAATTAAGTCATGAAGGTAGAGCCATAATGAGTGGGATTAGTGCCCTTATAAATACGGGCCCCAGGGAGTTGTCTAGCCCCTTCCATCATGTGAGGACACAGTGAGAAGATAGCCATCTGGAAATCGGAAAGAGAGCCCTCACCAGAACCTGACCCCACTGGCCCCCTGATCTTGGACTTCTAGCCTCCAGACCTGTGGGAAAATAAATTTCTGTTTTTTGTAAGCTACCCAGGCTATGGCACTCTGTTATAGCAGCCTGAAGTGACTAAGGCAGTGCTCTAAACCTCTGAAAGTAAATGACTTAGCATTTAACTTTGACCACTGATGAATGAGCAGGATGAAGTGGTTCTGGCAGGAAATGAGAAGGTAAAAGGTCAGATCAGAGTTATGGTCTTGTAACTGCATTGCGAAGTGATGGGTGTGAAGAGAGGGAATTAAGCCTTGAATCACAGAAAGGAAGGCTCCCATCTAAGGAAACTAGCTAGGACATTCATAAAATGTCTTGAATTATTTTTTAGATTGTTTTTCTTTTCGAATAGTAGTAACAACGTGGATAGTATTCCTATGCCTTACCTCTATTTTCAGTGAAACTAGTTAAAAAAAATGTAACTAAGCAGTTTTAAAATTTTCTGTCTCTAGCACTGACTGCTGAAGGTCTGGTTGGTGATTTAGCTGCATTAGTCCAAAACCCCTCAGCAGCTTGGAAGAGGGTACCTGCATCTCAGAGTTGTGGAGGTTTGAAAAAGTTGAGTGAGAACTGAGATTCAAAGATTATTTGAGGCCGGGCACGGTGGCTCATGCCTGTAATCCCAGCACTTTGGGAGGCTGAGGCAGGTGGACTGCTTGAGCCCAGGGGTTCAAGACCAGCCTGGGCAACATGGTGAAACCCTGTCTCTACAAAAACTACAAAAAATAGTCAGACATGGCGACTCAGGAGTCTGAGGTGGGAAGATCTCTTGAGCCCGGGAGGTCAAGGGTGCAGAGAGCTGAGATCGCACCACTGCACTCCAGCCTGGACGACAGAGTGAGACCCTGTCTCAAAAAATAAATAAATAAATAAAATAAAAAAATAAATAAAATAAATTATTTGAGAGGGAGAAGATAATAGGATCAGACAATAGTCCCTTATAGTCAACTCAATAATACATAGCCTTTTATTTATTTATTTAGGGAGACAGGGTCTCCCTCTGTTGCCTAGGCTAGAGTGCAGTGGTAAGGATCACTGCTCACTGTAGCCTTGACCTCCCAGGCTCAAGCTGTCCTCACACCTCATCCTCCTAAATAGCTGGGAGACTACAGGTATGCACTACCAAGCCTGGCTAATTTTTTCCTTTTTGTAGAGGCGGGGTCTCATTATGTTGTCCAGCCATGTCTCGAACTCTTGGGCTCAAGTGATGCTCTTGCCTTGGCCTCCCAGAGTGCTCAGATTAAAGGCTGGCTGCCTTATTTATTTAGGGAAGTTCTCTTCACAGTTGATAGGAGCAGACCTCTTAGCCAGTATCTACCACATTGAAAATACAGCTTGTCATTTTAGAAGTATTCCCCAAACCAGGCTCCCCACCCTCTGCATATCTCCTGGTCTCTTTATCCCCCAGAGAAAAATCCCAATCAAAACTCCAAAGCTTCTTTATTTTGTTTCTATCTTTTAGGCAAGAACCTGTCAATAATAATAATCATAATCACCACCATTTTTTAAACATTGGCCCCACTGTTCCATATTATTTATTATATATGAGGGGGTCTTGTTAATCATGATTTTACTTGCTCTACATTGCATGGCTGGTCAAAGGCAGCTTGAAAAGAATCCCAGTTTGTCTGTTCTACTCAAAAGCCCCTGTTACCACTTTCTACTACTGTCTTACTATGCCTTCCTTACTAGCTCCTCTGGTCCATACTTTCTGATTCTCCTCTTGATGTTTAAGGTGACTCCTCTTCTACACATGGAATGGAATGGAAGCTCCCTCTTTTTTTTTTTTTTTTTTTTGAGATGGAGTCTTGCTGTGTCACCTAGGCTGGAGTTCAGTGGCGTGATCTCGGATCACTGCAACCTTTGCCTCCCGGGTTCAAGTGATTCTCCAGCCTCAGCCTCCTGAGTAGCCAGGACTATAGGTGTACGCCACCATGCCCGGCTAATTTTTATATTTTTAGTAGAGACTGGGTTTTGCCATGTTGGCCAGGTTGTTCTCAAACTCCTGACCTCAGGTGATCCACCTGCCTTGGCCTCCCAAAGTGCTGGGATTACAGGTGTGAGCCACTGCGCCTGGCCTCCTCTTCTGAGAGTTGGCTTTGTCACTGTGACATAATAAGAAATATGTATTAGACTTCTGCTCCCTCTCCCTTTCCTGTCACATAGGTCCTAAAACCTTTGGCATCTCTGCAGTGATAAGTGATAGTGTCTTTGTGTATGCTGATGAGATGACTGGTGGCTGGGAGCTCCTGGATAGATAGCCTCAGGATGGTGGCTGATTGCCAGGGGAGCCAAACATGTGATTACAGGGTTGGAACTTTCAGCTCCCCTCCATATTGCTCCCCAAAGGGCAATGATTAAATCGATCATTTAATCATTTTATGGAAGCTGATGTCATGAAGCTTCCATAAAAACTAAAAAATACAGGGTTTAGAGAACTTTCAGATTGTTGAACACATCCAGGTGCCTGGTGGGAGGTGCACCCCAGCTTCATGGGAACAGAGGCTTCTGTGCTAGGGACCCTTCTGAACCTTGTCGTCAGTGCAGTATTCATCTGGCTGTTCATTTGTGTGCTTTAAAATATCCTTTGTAATACATCAGCACTAGTAAGTAAAGTGTTTCCCTGAGTTCTGTGAGCCATTCTAGCAAATGACTGAACCTGAGGAAGGGACTATGGGAACGCTCAATTTATAGCTGGTAGATCAGAAGTACCAAAGGCTTGGACTTGCAATTGGCACCTGAAGTGGAGGCGGTCTTGTAGAACTGAGCCCTTCATTTGTGGAATTTGACTCTAACTCCAGGTAGATAGTGTCAAAATTTAATTGAATTATGGGACATCTAGCTGGTGTCGAAGAATTGTTTGGTGTGGGAGAAAAACCCACACATCTGGGGTCACAGGAGTGTTCTGTGTTTTGGTGAGAGTATAGTAGAAGAAAAGTCAGTTTGTTTTTTTCTTATTATATAGTCACTTACCAGGAAGCTCCTAACAGTTTGTCCTTATCAATGAAATTTTTGAAGAAACAAATCTATTAAGAATATTTAGCATTACAATCAAAGATACCATACATAAATGCCAAACCACAAGGCTGACATTTTAAGTGAATTAATGGTTCATTTGACAGTGGAGTTTTATGAATGCTTCTGTGCTGTGGGATTTCTTGTTTAATCAAGTTAGCTGTATCCAAATCAACAGAGTTAATGTGGGCTGCCAGCCAAGATGTAGGTCAAGAGTGGGTTGTTAAAATGTTAGTCGTTAAAATGAAACTCTGTTAAGACCATTCTGGCCAACATGGTGGAACCCTGTCTTGACTAAAATACAAAAAAATAGCCGGATATGGTGGTGCACAGCTGTAATCCCAGCTACTTGGGAGGCTTAGGTATGAGAATCACTTCAATCCAGGAGGTGGAGGTTGCAGTGAGTTGAGATTGCACCACTGCACTCCAGCCTGGGTGACACAGTGAGACTCAGTCTCAAGAAAAAAAAAAAAGAAAAAGAAACAAACAAAAAAGGGAACTCTGCCTGTTATTCTCAACGCTATTTTTTTTTCAGTGCTAACTGACAATTGATTAGTGTCCTCAGCTCCACCCCATCCCCATTTATGCATCAAAACTCACAGTTAATTATGTGGCTAATATTTATATTTGGGGTTAAAATTTTCCTATTTTATAATCAGCATTGATTATTTTGTAAGTTTTTGGAGAACTACTGGAATATGCAATGATGAAAAAAGAACTAGATTTTCTCATCTACGGTTCTCAAAAAAAAAAAAAAGTAAATCTATTGCTTCTAGCCTAGTATTTGTCTTAGTCCACTCAGGCTGCTATAACAAAATACCATAGAGTGGGTGGCTTATAAACAACAAACACTGATTTTTCACAGTTCCGGAGGCTGGAAAGCCCAAGATCAAGGCCCAGCTTCCTGGTTTGTACAGGGCTGTCCTTTTGCTGTAACCTCACATGATGACAGGAGTGAGGGATCTTTTTAGGACCTTTCTTATAAGGGCAATAGTCCCATTCATGAGGGCTCCACCCTCATGATCTAATTACCTCCCAGAGGTCCCACCTCCAAATACTCTGACATTGGGGATTAGGTTTCAACACACTAGTCTTGGCAGATGCAAAGATTTAGTCTATGGCAGTACATTTAACTTGGTTTTGGTAACTGAGAGATGCTAGCAGAAAATTACTCAGTTATAAAAAAGGGGAGGGGTACAAATTATTCTATTACAAATGTGCAAACCATGTAGCAATCGGAGTATTGAAGTTACCTTTATTTTAGTAAAGCTTTTGATTCTATTCTAATCCCAAATAACAGGGTCAGCAAATCCATTCTGTCTGTTCCCTTGCCATCATCCTGGCAGACATCACTAGTTGATGAAGTTTGACTCTAACTTAGGGGTATCCAGTCTTTTGGCTTCCCTAGGCCACATTGGAAGAAGCATTGTCTTGGGCCACACATAAAATACACTAACACTAACAATAGCTGATGAGCTTAAAAAAAAATTGCAAAAAAATTTCATAATGTTTTAATGTTGAATGTGGCCCAACACACATTTATATGCAGCCCACAGGCCATGGGTTGGACAAGATGCCCTAAACCATGATATGTCCTCAGAACTCTTTCATGCAATCCAGCAGACAGCTACTCATGTCTCATTGTTTTGGAGTTGGCCTTTGCACTACCTCTGATCTGGAGGATAGATAGGGGTTCTCACGCTGTGTACCAGAGAGGGTCACTAACTGAGAGTTGGGGAACATGTTGAGTAGCTGGGTTTTGGCATGCATTTGATTTTATTGTTTGAGGTAGTATTGATGAATTTGACATAATGTAAAGGGCAATGAAGTTGATTGGAGACTCAGAGTTTTAAACAATGTAGGAAACCGGAATAGAATTTAAAGTCATCTTGACTGGGTGTGGTGGCTCATGCCTGTGATCCCAGCACTTTGGGAGGCCGAGGCAGGTGAATCACCTGAGGTCAGGAGTTCGAGACCAGCCTGGCCAACATGGTGAAATCCCATCTCTACTAAAAATACACAAAATTAGCCGGGCATGGTGGTGCATGCCTGTAATCTCAGCTACTAGGGAGACTGAGGTAGGAGAATCACTTGAATTGGGGAGGCGGAGGTTGCAGTGAGCCAAGATCATACCACTGCACTCCAGCCTAGGCGACACAGCAAGCCTCTGTCTTAAAAAAAAAAAAGAAAGTCATCTTGACAGTTTTGATGAATGAACCATCAGAGAGTGGGACTGCTTTCAAGATTGTTTACCCATAGCTGATGCTCTAAAATGGGATTAAAAAAACTGGGCTGGGTTACGTGATAAAGGTGTGCCACAGAATGACAGAGGCAGAGGTTTAGACAACCAGTGAAAAACAAGGCAAAACAGAACCTAAAAAGATGCTGCAGTGCTAACAGAACCAGCACATTCAACCACACAGCCATGACTGAACCACTCACCCTGGTTTCTGCCTGCAATATGAAAGGAGATCATTCTGGATGGGGGACATTGGCAAATGTTTTTTGGTGGATATACTGGTGTTGAAGCGGCCATGTGGAGATGGATTGGGATTAAATAAAGTGAGAAGACTGTCTAAACTGGAGGGATGAGGGAATAGCTTAATTAGCAATGGGAGTATATTTAGTTTATAGAAGGGACAAAACATAGAAATAAGGTTGTGGGAAAGCAAGATTGGGTTCTGGAGGCCCTAAAAACAAAGCAGTTTGGATTTGATGTAAAAGCGTAGATAAACCCAGGTTAACTGTTCATATTAAGGGTGGCAAAGAGGAAATTCTGAAGCCTGAAAAATGGTTAAGAGATCTGTGAATCTGTTAAGTGAGATCTGTGAAGGCTGATTACTGAATTTAGAGAAAAACCAAGGGATGACTCATATTAAGTTGGTTAACTAAGTTGGAAAGAGGAAGCAAACCCACATTTTCTCAAATTCTTAAGAGATGGAACAAAAAGATTGGCTTAAATGGAAATAAAAGAATTATATTGTATATAAGAAAACACTTCTTGTTAGCAAAAAATGATTAGAAAACTGGACCAGACTAGCAGGTAGATTATATGAGATATTTTCCAAGTAGGATAAATAGTTTAGAATTTTGGGAGAGGTATAAGTTATATAACAAAGCTCTTTTCATTTTCTTAACAGTGCCTGGTCATCTTGATTGTAAAAAGTTCTCTATAAAAATTTTAAATGTCTGTTTATTTTTAAATCCTTCTTTAGGCAGTGTTTATAATCATGGGACTATCTCATGTGGATTACTTAGTATATAAGCAGAGAAAGCAGGAAAGATTTTTTTTTTGTTTTTTGGAGTTAGAGTCTTGCTCTGTCACCCAGGCTAGAGTGCAGTGACCCAGTCTCTGCTCACTGCAACCCCTGCTTCCCAGGTTCAAGCGATTCTCCTGCCTCAGCCTCCCGAGTAGCTGGGATTACAGGCGCATGCTGCCACGCCTGGCTAATTTTTTGTATTTTAGTAGAGATGGGGTTTCACTGTGTTGCCCTGGCTGGTCTTGAACTCCTGAGCTCAGGCAATCTGCTTGCCTCGGCCCCCCAAAGTGTGGGATCGCAAGCGTGAGCCAGTGCACCCGGAGAAAGCAGGAAAGTTCTTCATCAGTTCTTTTAATCTGCCAGCAAGTAGCAACAATCGTTCCATTCTCCTTTGCCTTTTCTTCTTTCTCTAAAATGTTTTGGTAATGGAATTTCCCATTTTTCTCTGTCCTCTCACCGAAGCTCCTGGGACCCATGCATTCTCACATGAACAAAAAGATGAGGGGGGCAGGTGGCAAGGCATGCTTTGTACACAGTAGGCTGGGGAGATGGAAGTAGATAGCAGTGCTTCTGTTTGGCGAGAACAGGATTTTGGTCAGACAAGAGAGACAGCCAATTGGACTTGTGATTAGACAGAATCCTTTTCTTGGGTTGGAGTAGGAAAAAGCCAGTGATGTCTGGATGCCTGGGGAGCAGGCAAAACCTTTAGGCAGGAGCTTTGGTCTTTGTGAAGCAGCCTCAGAATAGTATGGTGGAAGCTCCACTGTGGACCCCCTTCACTGACTTTTCTAGACCAGGTGCCTGGTTTTCCTGCTTCTCTTCCTCAAAGCTCTGTTTCCTCCAAAGATTGGGCTGGTGAAAGAAGAGCTTTGATTGCCTAGAGGCCCATGAAGTTTCCAGAAGGTCCCTCAGGGAGCAAACCAGTAGACCTTTACATCTCCTGTGATTTCTGAGGAACAGCTTGTGAACAAGAGCAAGAGGAAAGTGCAATGTGGCCTGCTCTTCACCAGTTTGATCCTCAGCGTTTCTCCCTGGGGTGGGTGGACCTTGCCTCTGAGCTTCTCTGGTGTGGTGCCCAGGCAGCCGTACCTGCTCATTTCTTATTTATTTTTGTTTGAATTTTTTTTTTGTATTTTTTTGTATTTAAGTGACATCACAGTCATACGTACCTGCTCATTTCACCTGAGAAATAAGAGTGACTCTGAAGCATGAGGATGCAGGGGATACTGAGGACAGATTTTGTGGGTGGGATACTTTGGCCCCTTTACCTTTAAGTATCTGGGAAAAAGCACTCTATGCAGAGGACAGCAACTTGGAGGAATACTGGTGATACAGTTTGGATGTGTCCTCCTGCTCAAATCGCATGTTGAAATATAATCCCCAGTGTTGGAGGTGGGGCCTGCAGGGAGGTGGTTAGATCACAGGGGTAGGTTCTTATGAATGGTTCAGCACCATCCCCATGGTACTGTCCTCATGACAGTGAATGAGTTCTCCTAAGATGTAGTTATTTAAGCGTGTGGTACCTCCCCTCCGTCTCTCTCTCTTGCTCCTGCTCTGGCCATGTGGTGTGCCTGTCCCCACTTTTGCCTTCTGCCATGATTGTAAGTTTCCCCAGGCCTCCCCAGAAGCAGATGCTGCCATGCTTCCTGTACAACCTGCAGACCCGTGAGACAATTAAACCTCTTTTCTTATAAATTACCCAATCTCAGGTATTTCTTTATAACAATGTGAGAACAGACTAATACAACTGGCGTCAGGCCTTTACAAGGAGTTAATGTATTTTGGAGACAGTGTATACACATAGCAAATAACACCCTTCTTCAAATTATTAGAGAAAACAGCACAATGGGGGATGATTTCTAACATCCTTTTGCAACCAGCAGTACTCTCTTGGTTTAAGTGGAGAGAAACTGATAATGAATTCCAGAGGCCATGATTTTAATAAAACAAAAACAAAACAGAATTTTTTTAAAAAGCAGATTAATGCCAGAAAGAGATTACAGGCTTTGGCTATATAACATGCTTGGTAGAATATGTAAAATACTTAAAATCTTTGCAAGGTGTTAAGTCCATGTTCCTTTTTTTTCAAGATTGGCAAGCTTTTTATTTATTAAGTTGGTATCTGTCAGTGTATCATTCATATCCCTTCTTCTTCTTGCCTCTGCAATGACGTTGGCACAAACCTGCTAAAATAAAATAACATCCTCATTGTCAGTGACTCATTGTCCAAATCAATGAGTTTACTTGCCAGTGTGTAGGCCAACCCACATGACCTCCCACAAATGATATCAAGTGTGTGATGTGGGCAGGGATTGCAAAATCACAGCATGTGCTAGTGTTCAGCATCTGATGTTCCACTGGCATACTGTACAAAAAGTATAAGCCCAACTGTGCTAATCGATAAAGAAGCATGTTTATCAGGGTTTGTGTGACAGAGAGTAAAAAACAGGCATTTTGTAATTGAGGAAGATAACAAAACTAATATCCTTTTTCCCCCCTTTTTTGGTAAAAAAAAAAAAAAGAGAGAGAGAATTGCCTTGCCATTCCATCCTTATCTCCATAGGACAAGCATCTATCATGTTCTTTAGTACAAGCCTGATTTAATTTTAGAAATTTGGAAATGATATTTCGTAAGTTTGATATAATTGGTCATTTTTTGATCTTTGCTTGTGATCATTTAAGACAACGCCTTATGTGATGAATGGAGTCATGAGCTTAAGGAAAATAAGAAACAAGGAAACAGTTCTACTGATGTGAAAACTCAGAATGATTTCAGGAAAAGGGGCATCTGGTAGAAGAAATTGTAAGCAAAGGCAGGAGGTTAGGAGAGCCTAGGAGATATTAGGCACCCAATAACTGATTTCTAGTTATTTTATATATTATATATATATATATATATAATATATATATATTATATATATATATAATATATATATAATATATATATATAAAATATAGTTTGGCTGCAGCTAGAATGCATGAAGATGAGTTGGGCATGGATGGACTTGAGACTGAATATGCAGGTTTACGTCAAATCCTAAAAGGCTTTAAGTGAATGCCAGGCTAGGAAATTCATTCCTTAGAGGAGGAGATCTCAAAGTTTTGAAAAGATGAATCTGGCAGTTTTATGAGTGGCATTAGACAGGATGTGTGTGGGAGAAGTGGAGAAAGGAGGCGTAGTAGACAGGAGGCCATTCTGGAAGATAATGGGGGCTTGAACCAGAGCAGTGGGATTGGTGGAGTTTCCTAGCAGCCATATAATAATGTGAGCCTGGCGAAGAAGTCAGGACTATAGATGCATAGTTGGGAATTATTTGCAGAGGGTGAAAGATGAAATAGTAGATTTAATGAACTCACAGAAAATGAAAGACATTTACAAGGGCTGGAGAAAAATTCATAGAAAAAGGGCAGGAAGAGATGAATGAACAAGACAAAGATCAACCAGGTAAGAGAATAAGAGCAGAGAAAATGGAAACAGAGAGAGATAGAAAGAGATATAGATAGATAGATAGATAGATAGAGACTTCTAACTATATATATATATTCTCTCCTCATTCTTCTGTCCACTGCTACTCTTGTGGGCTATATTTTTCTCCCAAGAATAATAGAAGTTGTCTACCAACTCCTCTTCAGAAACAAAAACATTGAATGTGTTATCTGTAAGCTGTGCTTTTCTGTGAATTTATACACATGAGGTGGGAGATTATTAGGGACTTCTAAAGCTAGCACAGAAATTAAGTATTTTATGTAAGATTTGGAATGAAAGGGTAACATTAGTTATGTGGAAAGCACCATAATCTAGTTTTACTTTGTTTTATCTTTACAATTCTGAGGACATGCTGAACCATCATACTGATGTTTTTCTGGGAGGGCTAGTGCTGGTGGACAAACACGCAAAGGATATGTGTGTGCAAGTTATTGTGTAAACACTTTAAATTTGGGTTTTACTCATCGTTTTAAAAACGTTTTAATTTTTTGCATAAGTAATAAACTCACATGGGTCAAAAATTATAGCAATTTAAAAACATATGCTTTAATAAATGTAGCTTCCACTCCTGTTACTGACTACCTCTATCCCAAGTTAGTTTCTTATGTATCTCTCCATTGTTTCTTTATGCTATTACATTACAAATATGTTATTCTAATGCAAGTCTTTATTATTTTATTTTTTCTTTCTTCTTTTTTTTTTTTTTTTTTTTTGAGATGGAGTCTCACTCTGTCTCCCAGGCTGGAATGCAATGGTGCGATCTCAGATCACTGCAGCCTCCTCCTCCCAGGTCCAAGCGATTCTCCTGCCTTAGGCTCCTGAATAGTTGGGATTGCAGGCATGCACCACCACACCCAGCTAATTTTTGTGTTTTTAGTAGAGATGGGTTTTGCTATGTTGGCCAGGCTGGTCTCGAACTCCTGACTTCAGGTGACCCACCCGCCTTGGCCTCCCAAAGTGTTAGGATTACAGGCATGAGCCACTGTACCCGGCCAAGTGTTTATTATTTTCTTGACTTGCTAACACCAAACATGATGTCCTATAAACAGTATTCTGAGCCTTGTGTTCTTCACTTATAATATATCCCATAAACCTTTCTCTATTATTACTTAGAAAGTTTCTTCTTTTTTAAGAGTTGTAAGAAGTTTCATTATATGAATGCAAATAGTTCAATTTACCTGTGGTTCCCAACCTTTGCTGCTTAAAAAATGATGCTGAAGTAAATATATCTGTAACATGAATTCTTAGCAATAGGATTGCTCTGTCAGAGAACATGTGTGATTTGGATTGATAGTGTCAAACTGCCCTCCATAATGGCCTCTATTATGGAGGCTAGTGGGGCTATGAGTTCCCACTAGGAGTGTATGCAAGTGCCTGTCTCCCCACAGCTTCACCAATGTTGTAAATATATGTCTAACTTTTGGATTTGTGCCAAACCAATAGACAAGAAGTGGAAATGCGGTTTGGTTCTAATTAGTATTTCTCTGATAAAACATTTGAACATGTTTTCATGTTTAAGGGTCAGTTGCATTAATTTTTCTGGGAACTATCTACTCATGTTTTTTGACCATTATTCTGTCAGGCTATCCTGTTTGTTTTCTAGGACCTTCTCATGTATTAAAATGATTAATGGTGGGTGTAGTAGTTCATGCCCATAATCCTAGCAGTTTGGGAGGCTGAGGCGGGAGGATAGCTAGACCCCAGGAGTTCAAGACCAGCCTGGACAACATAGCAAGACCTTCTCTCTACAAAAACTCAAAAAATTAGCCAGGTGTGGTGGTGCATACCTGCGGTCCCGGCTACTTGGCAAGCTGAGGTGGGTGGATCACAGGAGCTCAGGTGGTTGTGGCTACAGTGAGCTGCGATCACACCACCGAACTCTAGCCTGGGCAACAGAGCAAGACTCTGTCACAAAAAAAGAAAAAAAAAGGATTAGCTTTTGTCTGTGGTGAGAGACAAATATTTGTTTCAGTTTGCAATTTGTATTTTTACCTCTGCTTATCATACTTCTTACTGTGCAGACATTTTTCATTTATATATAGTCTAATTTATCAATATTTTCTTTTTCTAACTTCTGGATTTAGTAGAAACATTTTTTTTCCTCTGCCAAGTTTTAAGGGAATTCTCCAAAGTTTTCTTTGATTACTTTTATGGTTTTATTTTTTATGTTAAAATCTTTGATTCATTTATTCTTGTGTGTCTTTCCAGATGTCTATCTAGTTGTCGCAACACTCTGTGAAAAAAATCTTTAACCAACTGATTTGAGACGCATCTTCAATAATTTCCAGAATTCCATTATATGTATTTATTTATTTATTTATTTTATTTTTTTGAGATGGAGTCTTGCTGTGTTGCCCAGGCTGGAGCACAGTGGCGCAATCTCAACTCACTGCAACCTCTGCCTCCTGGGTTCAAGTGATTCTCCTGCCTCAGCCTCCCAAGTAGCTGGGATTACAGGTGCCCACCACTATGCCTGGCTAATTTTTGTATTTTTAGTAGAGATGGGGTTTCACCATGTTGACCGGGCTGGTCTCGAACTCCTGACCTCAAGTGATCCTCCCATCTCAGCCTCCCAAATTGCTGGGGTTACAGGTGTGAGCCACCACGCCCAGCCTCCAGTTTATACATTTGGATCTGTTTCTGAGCTATTTTATTTCATTTGTGTACTTGTCTTCTCATGCACTGTTATCATATTATCTTAATTATTGATTTTTTTTTGTTTGTTTTTTTGAGACAGAATCTCGCTCTGTCACCCAGGGTGGAGTGCAGTGGTGCGCTCTCGGCTCACCACAACCTCCGCCTCTAGGGCTCAAGCAATTCTGCCTCAGCCTCCCTAGTAGCTGGGATTACAGGCACCTGCCATCATGCCAGGCTAATTTTTGTGTTGGGGAAACCAGCCCCACACCACCCGGTGGGTACCCCGAGTCCGGCGGAGACAAAGGAATTAGAAAGAGACAAAATAAGAGTTTAAAAGGCGGGTCCAGGGGACCGGAGCGTCGGAGGCTTGCTCATGCCCCGAGCTCTCGGCCTCCACCCAATTTGTTGGTTTACAAGCGCTTTGTTCTTAGGGCAAATGGGAGGGGTAGGAAGGGATGAAGAAAAGGATTCATCAGTGAAGGAGAACTCTGTGAGTTTCCTCGAGCAAAGGCGTGTGTCTAAACTACCTAAGATCTTTAACTGACATGGGTGGGAGTGGGTTTCAGGAGAAACCAAGATGTTTGATTATACTCCACTGCTTCAAGGGAGTGTTATTTCCCCGAGCAACCTGTGGAATGCCGCCGAGCTGTTATGCTCTCAGGGCATAAAGACATGAAGGCAATAAGGAGACTTTTCTCCTCAGAGGCCACCCATGGCTCCCCATGGCTGTCTCACACATGGGAGACCAACTCATCTGGCATCCCAGAAACTCTCTTTCCCACATTTTTGTATTTTTGTAGAGACGGCATTTCACCATGTTGACCAGGCTGGTCTGGAACTCCTGACCTCAGGTGACCCACCTGCCTGGGCCTCCCAAAGTACTGGGATTATAGGCGTGAGCCACCAAACCTGGCCAATAGTTGTTTTAGTGTCTGGTAGAAATAGTTGTTCTTATTGCTTTTCCTATTTATTCTTTTTTTTAAAAAATTAATTAATTTATTATTATTATTATTATTATTATTATTTTTAATAGAGACAGGGTTTCACCAGGTTGGCCAGGCTGATCTGGAAGTCGTGACCTTAAGTGATCCACCCGTCTCAGCCTCCCAAAGTGCTGGGATTACAGGTGTGAGCCACTACGCCCGGCCTCCTATTTATTCTTGTTTACTTATTTTTCCATATGATCTTGAGATTCAGCTTTCTATGATACAAGGAAATACAACAACCCATTTTTATTGGAGTTGTATTAAGTTTGTAAATTTATTGAGGAAGGTTTGACATTATCTATGTTGGGTCTTACTTTCTGAGGACATTATATCTTTCCATTTGTTTAGATTTTCTTTTTTTTTCCCCCATTTGTTTAGCTTTTCTTTTTTTTTTTTCCCCATTTGTTAGGTTTTCTTTTGTATCCTTAAGAGATGTTCTAAAATTTTCCTCAGATAGGTATTGCACATTTCCTCTTAGTTTTATATTTTAGTTGCTATTATAAATAAGGTGTGTTCTTCCATTATATTTTCTAAATAATTGTTGTTCATGTATAGGAAAATTTTCTACTTTAGTAAGGTAGAAGAATATAAAATTAAGAATTCTCATACTGTATATGGTTTTTCAGGAATTTCCTTTTGTTCAGATATATAATTATTTTATCTTCAGATATTGATAGGCTTGCCATTTCTTATTCAACTTTGGTTTGCATTTTATTTCTTTCCTAGTTTGTACTTCATTTTTTTTCTCTTGTCTGGTTGTGCTGGCTGATACTCCCTGCAGTGCTAAACAGTAGTGGTGCTAGTTGGCAAGTTGGCATTTCTATGTGGATGGTCTTCAGTGCCTTTAGGGTCTTCCCAATAAAGATCATGTCAACTTTGATCTATTTTTCCATCTCATGTTAAATAGTTGCTGATTCTTGTTTTGTTACTTTAAATTAAGAGTGAATGTTGAATTTTCATGCTTTTAAGGCATGTCTGATGGTGAAGATAGATTACCCCTCTTAGACCCATTGTAGTGAATTTTATTAATAACTTTAAAAATATTTGAATTGTCTTTGCATTTATGGAATAAACATTACCTGGTCATAATATGATGCTGGAAGTTGTCTGCCAAAATTGAAGTTAGGATTTTTACAGTTGATTCTTATACTTGTGATTAGTGTATTACTTACCTATCTTCCTTTATTTCTCCTTCCCTTGTCAGTTTAAATGTTTGGTAGAATTCCTTAAAAAAAGGTCTGGGCCAGGAGTGGTGGCTTATGCCTGTAATCCTAGCACTTTGGGAGGCTGAGGCGGGTGGATCATTGAGCTCGGGAGTTCAAGACCAGCCTGGGCAACATGGCAAAATCCTGTCTCTATTTGAAAACAACAACAACAAAAAAAGCCTGGGTCTGGTGCTTATTGGTTGGTTAGGGGTGCATATGTAGGTATTTTTTTGCTGCCTGCAACATTATTTCATCTGTGCAAATGGTTCTCTTTAGCATGTTCATCTCTTGGTGTCAGTAAAGCTTTGAGCAACTTTTTTTTTAAATAGAAAATTATCTGTTTACCCAGATTTTCATTAAAGTTATTTGCAGAAGACTTTGTGTAGAATTCTTTCTTATGATTTTTATGATTTTCTGTTTTTTTCTTTGCACATTTTTATTTTGTATTATATGTGGGCTTTCTCTCCTGCCCTTATTTTATTTTTCTTAATTGGATTAAGTAGTGGGGTGTGCAGGTGCTTAAAGTAAACTTTACCCTGTTTCACATTAAAAAAAAATTGATTGTAACTTGTATCTTTAAATGTGCCAACCCAGGCCATGTTACTAGGGGGAGCGTGAGTAGTTTCATAACTCGAATGCTTTTTTTTAAAATAGGCAATTGTGATTGAGTCATCATGATTGAGTAGCGCTTAGGAAAACCAAAGGAGATGCATTTATTTTGAGCACATTTCATGTATATTAAAGGTCATCATAGTTGTGATGACTTCTTCCCCTTTTCATTTTATGGACCTATTGTATGGTATATCATAATCTATTTCTTCTAAGGCAGGGTTATTGCTACCAGGAAACCTGTGAAACTTTTATGTAGTGTTTTTTAACTTTTCATTTGTATTCACTTTTTTTTTTTTTTTGAGACGGAGTCTCGCTCTGTTGCCCAGGCTGGAGTGCTGTGGCGCGATCTAGGCTCATTGCAAGCTCCGCCTCCCAGATTCACGCCATTCTTCTGCTTCAGCGTCCGGGGTAGCTGGGACTACAGGCACCCGCCACCACACCCGGCCAACTTTTTGTATTTTTACTAGAGACGGGGTTTCACCATGTTAACCAGGATAGGCTCGATCTCCTGACAGGTGATCCACCCACCTCAGCCTCCAAAGTGCTGGGATTACAGGTATGAGCCACCACGCCCGGCCTGTATTCACATTTTTCATTTGTCATCCTCTTCAATTCCCCCACTTCCAATAACTGAGAAACTTAAAACCTTAAAATAACCACAAAACTGCCTAACAAGGAGCAACCTCTCTTACTAGTACATTGCTAATGTAACCATTAAATAGATAAAATACTATTCATAATATGTGAAATTAAGTGGAAAGATGTTATGTGTGTCTGTGACCTCCCAGTGTTCTAATGCTTACTGGTAATCAGTTGGTTCTCTCATCTTAAGTATTTCTCCTAAATCAGCTTCATTTGTAAGGTGAATGGTTTAACATAGATCTGTTGTTTGTATCAACAAAATGATAATGTTATTCAGAGGTAGGGGCAAGTCCAGGTCTTGTGGGGGCTTAAAGCTTATGCAATTTAGAGGCCTTCTTTAATAAGGAATACAAAGTGATCCATGCAAAAGTAAGTACAGGACCTTGGAAGGAGCCTATGCAAGTTTGGACCCTGAAGTTTAACCTTACTGGCTTCATGGTCAATCTGTCTTTTGCTCAAAGACCTTGAACTGAAACCTGGAGTGATGACTGAGAAGAATATAGCAGGGCTGCTTGGCTCTTTGGACCAAAAAAGAGAGACCATTTTCTATAAACCTTGCCTGGCTGACGGTCCAGGTTAATAAAGATGTAAAAATGGTAGAAGGTGTGAGAATATATCTAAGAACAATAACACCAACAACAAATCAAGGGGGATTATCCTTTCTAAACCTTGACTATGTCATCTGTGAGATGTGTAGGGAAGCTGCTTCTGCCGTGTAGAGGCCTTGAAGAGTAAGGATACTGGCAGGATGCCTGTGCACTGATGTTACAGAGTCTTAGCAGAGGGCAGAACGGTCTCCTTGGACAACGTGGACCTGGCTGAACTACAGCACTGGGGACCACTTGGTGCACCACTGCCCAGGGCATGGTTTTGTTTGTTTGTTTGTTTGGCTTATTGTAGGATGGCCCAGAGATTCTAAATGAGAGGAATTTAAGTGGGTTCCAAGCTGTAAAAGATTCCTGCCTCAGTTAAAAAAAAAAGGGTGAATTGTGTCACAACTTTCTGGGAAGAATGATCACGTGTAAGTGAATTGTAAGTGCATGTCTAGATTAATGTTAGATAGGGGCCATATATAGATTTTCTTGTATCAATTAAAGTTATCTTTCTTCCCTCAAAGGTAGGAGAAATGCTAGGAAGAGCTGCTACTCAGGGCTTTCTGTTTAGCAAGGAAGAACTGGGGGTGGTGTTGTATTGACGAGAAATATCTTACATATTTGGGATTCGTCAGTGGGCAGGTATTGGTTAGAGCGATGTGAAACTTGAGGCAATAACATATGAGGAAGCACTTGGTTTTGGAGTCACCGACTTGGTTGCAAATCCTGTCTCAGTTCCTTCTTCTCTCTGGCCCCAGGCAAGTTACTCAACCCCTCTGCACTTTAATTTCCTCATGTATAAGTTGGAGATAATACAGAATACCTCATAGGATTGCGAAGACTACAAAAGTGTAGGTGTCAAGGGTTTTATATACAGCCTGGCATCAGGAGACACTCAGTCAATGTCAGCTGCCTTTTAGTTTAGGAAGGAAGATTTTAAAATATACATGGGAAGATAGGATTGGCTAGAGCCTTTAATTGAAACTATAGCTAGAAATTTGGGAGAACTCTTTTTTTTTTTTTTTTTTTGAGACGGAGTCTTGCTCAGTCACTCAGGCTGGAGTGCAGCGGCACGATCTCGGCTCACTGCAACCTCCGCCTCCTGGGTTCAAGTGATTCTCCTGCCTCAGCCTCCTGAGTAGCCGGCACTACAGATGTGCACCACCATGCCTGGCTAATTTTCATATTTTTAGTGGAGACAGGGTTTTACTATGTTGGCCAGGGTGGTCTCGAACTCCTGATCTCAGGTGATCCACCCGCCTTGGCCTCCCAAAGTGTTGGGATTACAGGCGTGAGCCACTGTGCCCAGCTTGGGAGAACTCTTAAAGGTAATCTTTTTTTTCTGATTAAAAAAAAATTGAGGTATAATTTGCATCTGTTACAATGCACATATTCAGTGTTCAGATACATGATTTTTTACATATTTGTAGGCTCATGTGATTACCCCAATCGAGCTAAAGAACACATTTATGATCTCAAAGTTCTCTTAAGCCCCTGCTCAGTATCTGCCCTTCATCTCTCAGTCCCAGTGGTACTCTCTCTTCTGATTTCTGTCATCGTCTGTTTTTACTGTTTTTGACATTTACATAAATGAAATCATACATTATATATTCTTTGTGTCTGTTTTTGTTCCCACTCTGTATAATAGTTGTGAGATTTCTCCATGTTGCATGAATCAGTGGATTTTTAAAAATAATTGCTATGGAGTATTCCTTTATATAATACCAATAGTTTGTTTATTTATTATAATGTCGATTGATAATTGGGTTAGTTCCAGTTTTTAGCCATTAGGAATAAAGCTGCTATAAACATTGTACAGACATTCTTATGACTGTCTGTGCCATAGGGTAAGCAAGTATTTGTTGAACTTTATTAGAAACTGCTACATGGTATTCTAAAATGTTTGTGCACTCTCAGCAGCAAAGTTTGAGAGTTCCAGTTGGTCCCTAGCATCTCCAGCACTTGGTATTTTTGGCCTTTTAAAATTTTAGCCATTTTTGTGGGTATGTAGTAGTATCTCATTATAGTTTTAAAAATAACATCTTAAGTATTTTTCTCAATGTAAGTATTTTTCAACAAAGTATATATACTTTGTTGAAAAATTAGACATTGCAGAAGTATAAATAAGTTAAAAATCAGCCATATGAAATACTTATTAATCAGAAAAAGCCTAATATTTTAATGTATTTCCTTATAGTTTTCCCCCACTCATATATATATGTGTATATATATATATACACACACACATATATATACACACACATATATATATATACACGCATATATATATATGTGTATATACACATATATAGTTTTGTTGTTGTTGTTTGAGATGGAGTCTCCCTCTTTTATCCAGGCTGGAGTGCAGTGGTGCCATCTCGGCTCACTGCAATCTCTGCCTCCCGGGTTCAAGCAATTCTCCTGTGTCAGCCTCCCAAGTAGCTGTGAGTACAGGTGCCTGCCATCACACTGACTAATTTTTGTGTTTTTTGTAGAGACGGGGGTTTCACTATGTTGGCCAGGCTGGTCTCAGACTCCTGACCTCAGGTAATCCACCCCCGTTGTCCTCCCAAAGTGCTGGGATTACAGATGTGAGCCACTGCGCTTGGCTTCATATATATATTTTAAAATGTAGCTGACATTTTAGTTTAATATATCTGGGAGTGGGCCCTGGTGTCTGTTTTTTAAAAGATTCCACAGAGAATTATGGAATGCAGCCAAGCTTGAGAACCACTGAGTTAGCTCAACCCTTTTCTCTCCCTTTCCCTTATAACTTAGTATCTTGTCTGGTGCCTGTCACTCTTTATATATTGACTAACTGAATGAATGAGCAAATGGTTTATTAAAATTTAGATGAGGAAATTGATCCTCAGCTAAGCTGATATCTCCAACAAATTTCTTAAGTGCATTTTTAAGCATAGTATTAATTTTTTAAAAGTAGAAAGAATAGTACAATTAGTCACCTTATACCCATCACCCAAATTCAACAGTTATCAAGAATTTGCTACATCTATTCTTTTTTTTCAGGTTTTCCTTTGTGTAAGTATTTTTCAATTAAAAAAATTAATTACAGAAGCAATATATGAGCAATGTAGAAAGGTAGAGAACACCAATAAGTAATTAGAAATACCATAGTCTCATCTTCATGTATATCCTTTTATGAAAGTATTTTAAAGTTAATTCCAGATATCATATCCTTTTACATACTTCAGGACACACCTCAAAAAATAGACTTTTTGAAAAATATAACCCTAATGCCATTATTACGCTTAACTAAATTAATAACAATATAAAAATTTAAAAATGTTTGGGAAGGGAAGCAGTGATAATCAGGATCACAAAGGAGTCGCTGTGAAATGAGCTTAGCCAAGTGGCCTAACTTACGTCCTGGAAATCTTAACTTAACTAATGGCTTAGGGAATGGTTTGGATTTGGTATATCTAGAGGTTAGCCTTGCAGTGTTACAGCTACGTTATTGTGAGAAAAGGTGGCAAAACGTGGACTGGAAATCTGTGCAGTTAGGTGACTATGTTGTTGATGCAGTAATTAACATATTAACATATCTAGTGATTAATGAACTGTAGAAGGACAAGATGGAGATCAGTTGTATATTCCTGGGATCTGTCCTTGGTACTAGCTTGTTAAGATGGTATAATGATCTTTTATTTTATTTTATTTATTTATTTATTTTGAGATGGAGTTTCACTCTGTCACCCAGGCTGGAGTGCAGTGGCGTGATCTTGGTTTGGTTCACTGCAACCTCCTCTTCCTGTGTTCAAGTGATTCCCTACCTCAGCCTCCTGAGTAGCTGGGACTACAGGTGCTTGCCACTATGCCTGGCTAATTTTTGTATTTTTAGTAGAGATGGGGTTTCACTATATTGGCCAGGCTGGGTCCAAGTGCCTCACCTCAGGTGATCTGCCCACCTCAGCCTCCCAAAGTGCTAGGATTACAGGCATGAGCCACTGCACCTGGCCTTAATGATCTTTTTAGTCTTTACATCTAGGTGATTGCTTGAGCATGGGCCAGGCCTCTTCCTTGACATTGAATATTTCTGTTCTTTAATCCCAGTAATACTGGTCCATCTCATTCCCCAATGTATACATACAGTTGGTCATTATACTACCTTATCGTGGTCTCTTCTTTAATCACACTAATCACATTTATGGGTCAGGAAGGAAGTTGGAGATGGTAGGGAAGGATCTAGGCCTGGCTTCTTTGCCAAGGATCTGAGCCCCTCAGAGGAGCTTCTCATGCCAGGAAAAGGACACTACCACCAATAATTGGTGCTGGAACAGGTAAACTCCTCCCTGCCCAATTTTAAAATAATAGCATACATAGACAGGAGTGTGAAATAAGTATACAACTTCATGCATTTTCTAAAATGAACTTGCTTGTATACCTCTCATCTAGGTCAATAAATTGAACATTACCAGTACCCCAGAACATTCCCCCAAGGCCCCCTTCCAGTCTCTATGGGATTTAGGACTATATTTTTGTCAATTCCAAACTAGATTTAATTAAAACATTTCCTATAGAAACAGTGTTAAGAGAGACTTTCTATTTCATGCTATTACTAATCTGTGATCACCTGTTTTTAAGTGAGTTAGGCTTATGACTGGGTGGGGTTCTTGCTCACACAGACCACTTCAATCAAGGCTTCCATGAGAAAGTGTTTTGAATGCTGAAGGTTTTGCTGCTGTGTTTGGAACACAGGCCATTGGTAGATTAAGGGTCTACTTCTGTATATAAGCTACTGTATCTTCTTTGGTCTGCAGTAGACCCTGATTTTCTTAACTGCTTGCTTAGGAAGTTTGCTTTACAACTGGAGGACAGAAAAACTAGTGTGATTTATAAATGGACTGTTATTCTAAGAGTTCACTCAGCTAATTTAGAGTTAATTATGTTTGAGATGGTTTCAACTTCTGCCTTCATTTCCACAGGCCTTTCGTATCTGGTATTATTTATGTACAAGTGACTTGCTAAAGGCACAGGGGCACAGGGCAGCTTGTGCAATTAATCGCTTGTGTGAGATAGACAGTTGTAATTTTATCTTCATCCAAGCATGGACTGTGTTGGCTTGGTGAAAGCATTTGGTGTAAGAACAAAGTTCAAACGTTTATGGCTTTACCCTTTTAAAGCTGACTTGTAAAGTAAAATGAATTTTTTTTTTTTTTTTTTTTTTTTTTTTTTTTTTTTTTTTTTTTTTTTTTTTTAGAATTAGAGTTTTACCAATTTAAGAACTGTGGGCTGCTTTGAAGGATCAGGATTAACTTATTAAAAATAATGAGATTGCTTTAATGATAACAAAACTAATGTAATAATTGAATCTGTGTCAGCTAATCTGATATGTGTTTATTTCTATGTATTTTGAAGACTTTTGGTCTACTCCCGAACATTTCTTTCTTTTTTTTTTTTTTGTTTTTTTTTTTTTGAGACGGAGTCTCGCTATCGCCCAGGCCGGAGTGCAGTGGCGCGATCTCGGCTCACTGCAGGCTCCGCCCCCTGGGGTTCACGCCATTCTCCTGCCTCAGCCTCCCAAGTAGCTGGGACTACAGGCGCCCGCCACCTCGCCAGTCTAATTTTTTGTATTTTTAGTAGAGGTGGGGTTTCACCGTGTTAGCCAGGATGGTCTCGATCTCCTGACCTCGTGATCCGCCCGCCTCGGCCTCCCAAAGTGCTGGGATTACAGGCGTGAGCCACCGCGCCCGGCCAACGGACATTTCTTGATGCCAAAACAAGTATTTCCTCTCTTCCTTTCTAATCTGTAATTTGAGGCCTAACGCATAGTGAGTGTTCCCTATATGTTGATTGAATTGAATATTTTTTCCTGTCAGAGCTTATATTTAGGTAAATTGGATCTGTAACTCAGACCCTCAATAGTCAACATATCTCAGGAGAAAGTAACATTATGTTTTCAGTCATGCTCCTTTTGACACCTAATTTTATTTTATTTATTTATTTTTTTTGAGAGGGAGGCTTGCTCTGTCGCCCAGGCTGGAGTGCAGTGGTGCGATCTTGGCTCACTGCAAGCTCCACCTCCCGAGTTCACACCATTCTCCTGCCACAGCCTCCCCAGCAGCTGGGACTACAGGTGCCCACCACCACGCCTGGCTAATTTTTTTTGTATTTTTAGTAGAGACGGGGTTTCACTGTGTTAGCCAGGATGGTCTCGATCTCCTGACCTCGTGATCCACCCGCCTCGGCCTCCCACAGTGCTGGGATTACAGGCATGAGCCACTGCACCCGGCTGACACCTAATTTTATAATAGTACCCATTTTCAGATATTGTGTGCCTAATATTAGAGCACTCATAGTCTGGTACCTGCTCTTTTACAGTACAGATTTTCATCTTAGGGACAACTGTCAGTTCCATGTAGCACTTTATTTTTTGGTTATATCACATGTGTACTTGCCACCTCATTTAATAAATACAACATTACAGAAACAATGGAATTCTCCTAGGTATCCTTTCCTGATCCCTTACCCTGCTACTCCTTGGAACTACTACTCTGACTTTCATGCTTATCTTGATGCGTATTTTCATACTTCCCTTACATATGTATATATCCTTCATACATAGTATTTATTGTTTTGCATTATTCAAATGATAAAAATGTTGTGTTCCACATATCGTTTTGTGTTCATTCTGACTTTTGCTCATTCTGATGTTTCAGAATTATCTAAATTAGTACATGTTCTAGCTAATTTATTTTAACTCATATATATTCACTGTATATATCTATCAAGTCTCTTATCTAGTCTCTCCTTAATGGACTTTAGATTGTTTCCACTATTTTGCTAATGCAAACAATGTGGCAAAGTGTTCTTGTATATGTCTCCTTGTGCACAGTTTTATAAGAATCTCTCTGGAGAATAAGAGAAAAAGCTCGTTAAGGTGGAATGCCAAATAATAAATGTGGAAGGATTGAAGGAGTGAGAAAATATCATTTTATTTATTTATTTATTTATTTATTTATTTATTTATTTATTTACTTTTGAGACAGAGTCCCACTCTGTCACCCAGGCTGGAGTGCAGTGGTGTGATCTTGGCTCATTGTAACCTCTGCTTCCCCGATTCAAGCGATTCTCATGCCTCAGCCTCCCAAGTAGCTGGAATTACAGGTGTGTGGCACCATGCCCAGCTAATTTTTTAAATTTTTATTAGAGATGGGATTTCGCATGTTGGCCAGGCTGGTCTCGAACTCCTGACCTCAAGTGATCCGCCTGCCTCTGCCTCCCAAAGTACTGGGATTACAGATGTGAACCACTATGCCCAATGGAGTGAGAAAATATCATTTTAAAAGACACATAGTACTTACTCATTAAGGCCAGAGTCATCAATAGATGGTAATACCACGGGTGAAAATTTGAATATACAAAGTTTGATATCCTAAATATCCATGGGGAGCAGGTTATTTACGTAGTCTCAAAGTATCTCCCCTTTATAGATGCTTGTACATAATAAGTACTTACTTATTAATCATAAAGAGAAAAAATACTAATGTTACATGGAGAAACCTGGAAGCACCACTTTCAGCCAAGTGATCAAAGCCACACATCACCAGTCATGACAACTGTCTCCTGATGAGATGCACTGAGAATACCACATTCCTTACATTGTATTATTACTTCCCAAAGTATACAATCTGCATCTAATCATGAAGAAACGTTAGGCAAATCCAAATTAAGAGCTACTCTATGAAATAAATAGCTCATACTTTTAAGAAATGTCAGTATCTTGAAAGACAAAGGAAGGCTGAGGAACCTTTCCACATTTAAAGAGACTAAAATGACTTGACATGTAAATGTAAGGTGCAATCCTGGACCAGAAAAAAAAAATTGCTGTAAAGCATGTTAGTGAGACAACTGTCAGAATTTGAATAAAGTCTGTAGATTAGATTCTCATATTGCATTAATGTCAACCTCCTTGATTTTGATAATTACAATTTGGTTAAATAAGTGAATCTCTGTGTCCTAAGGAAACATATGCTGAAGTATTTGGGGGTAATGGGTATGATGTTTACTACATATTCTAAGTGGCTCAGGAAAATTTTTTTATATACATATAAAGATAGAACAATAAAGCAAATGTGGCAAGATGTTGGCAATTAGTGAATCTGGGTGAAGTGACCTATTGTTGCAACTTCGCTGTATGTTTGAAATTATTTTTTAAAAAGATCTTCCTAAGTTATACCTGGGAAGTGGAATTGCTAGGTCATAGGCTCTGAATGTGTTTGAATTTGCACATCTTTACCAGTACTTCACATTATCAGATTAAACATCTTTATCAGGCTTATGGGTATGAAGGAGTATGTCATTGTGGCTTTTTTTTTTTTTTTTTTTTTTTTTTGAGACAGGGTCTCGTTCTGTTGCCCAGGCTGGAGTAGTGTAGTGGTGCAATCTCAGCTCACTGCAACCCTCACCTCCCGGATTCAAGTGATTCTACTGCCTCAGCCTCCCCAGTAGCCGGGATTACAGGCGTGTGCCGCCACGCCTGGCTAATTTTTTGTATTTTTAGTAGAGACGGGGTTTCACCATGTTGGCCAGGCTGGTCTCAAACTCCTGACCTCAAGTGAACTGCCCACCTCGGCCTCCCAAAGTGCTGGGATTACAGGTGTGAGCCACCATACCTGGCCTCACTGTGGTTTGAGTTTGCATTTCTTTCATTATAGTGAAGCAGAACATGTTTTCAAATGTTTCATCAATAAGGCTACTCTTTTATGAATTGCTTGCTATATTCTTAGCCATTTTTAAAACAGAGTTCTTTGACATTTTTAAATTAATTTTTTGTATGTCTTAATATATTCTGGAAATTAATCCTTTGGGAAATTAATCCTTTGTCGGCTAGATAAATTGCAGTTACCTACATACTTTTGAAAGATGCTTAACTAAAATATAAAATTGAGTTATATTTTATTTAAGTTACACAGAATAAACTAGGTAAGAAGGCAGAGAAAACATTGCACAACAAGTGTGTAGGGGCTGGAGGGCTGGCGTTGTTTGCAGATCTCTTCTCTCTTGGCTCAGTCAAATAATATGGGGCAATTGAACTTGCATTCTTATCTCTGGCCCCTCTGAAAAAGGTTATTTTTAGGAAGGCTGTCTATTGTCCCCAGTGTATTTCATTCAGAAATTTGCTGAAGAAGGTATTCTTCCCTCCTGCTGTAATGAAACTGTTGCACTGCTAAATACTGGCCAGTACTTAGATTGAGTAATGGGCTTTGAGTGGTATTGCAGTGCCTGTAGAGCAAAAGGGTAATTCAGTAGGCACACTATCATGGTTCATCCTCTAATACTAATTAAACCTCTTTTGGAGATGGTGAAAAAAGGTTAAACCACTTAGACTTGACTTCTGAAAAAGAGAACCTAATAATCATTCAAGAACTTACTTTTTTCCTTCCTTCCTTCCTTCCCTCCCTTCCCTCCCTCCCTCTTTCTTTTCTTTTTTCTTTTTTCTTTTCTTTCTTTCTTTCTTTTCTTTTCTTTTCTTTCTTTCTTTCTTTCTTTCTTTCTTTCTTTCTTTCCTTCCTTCCTTCCTTCCTTCCTTCTTTCCCTTTCTTTCTTTCTTTCTTTCTTTCTTTCTTTCTTTCTTTCTTTCTTTCTTTCTTTCTTTCTTCCCTTCCTTCCTTCCTTCCTTCCTTCCTTCCTTCCTTCCTTCCTTCCTTTCTTTCTCCCTCCCTCCCTCTCTCTCTTTCTCTCTTTCTCTTTCTTTCCTTTCTTAATTTTTATTTCTTTCTCTCTCTCCCCTTCCTTCCTTCCTTCCTTCTCTCCCTCTTTTCTCCCTTTCCCTTCCCTTCCCGCCCCTCCCCTCTGTTCCCCTCCCCTCCCCTCCCCTCCCCTCCTCTTCCCTTTCCATCTCATTTTGTCACCCAGGCTGGAGTGCAATGGCATGATCATGGCTCACTGCAGCCTCCATCTTCTGGGCTCAAGTGATCCCCCTGCCTCAGCCTCCCAAGTAGCTGGGACTACAGGCACATGCCACCATGTCCAGCTAATTTTTGTATTTTTTGTGGAGACAGGTTTCACCATGTTGCCCAGGTAGGTCTCAAACTCTTGGGCTCAAGTGATCCGCTCACCTTGACCTCCCAAAGTGTTGGAATTACAGGCATAAGCCCCCATGCCAAGCCCCTATTGCTTTAATTCTTAAGGTGACTAGGTATAAACTTTGCATGTAGGACAAAAACTCCAAAATCCCCATATATCCCACACCTAAAATCATAAAACATTAGCCCTGTAAGAAAACTAAATTGTTTCCATTCTCTCAGTTTATAAAAGACATCAGTCATGGAGCTGGTGGTTGTCCTAAACAGGACTTGGCTTTTGACTCCAGGTCCTCTTTCCTTTCTCCTCTAGTGTAGTATTAGTCCTTCCGAAAACTGAACTATTACAGCTCTTTCTACTAATACACGTATAACTCTTTCCGGGATAGGTAATACAGCACTGTCCATTTTCCTCATTGATTTCCTAGTAAACTGGAAAATGAGGTGATCAAAAAAGATCTTCTTTCAGGGAATTTAACATCTTAATTACTATCTCAAAAGAAAATATTTTTCTTTGTAGTCTAATGTCAGAAGTAACCTTTTGTGATACACCCCAAAGGAACCAATGAATGATCATATGACTGTGTATATAGCTACTCTTTATTCTTTGAAGACTTTCTCATTTTTTGTATTTAATAGTTAGAATTGAATGACAGTAGTCATTTTTCAATTCATAAAAATTTATGCTGCTTTAAAAAATCATTTAATTATTTTCTTGATGGAAAATACAGTAACAGCACAGAGAGGAAAACCTAATCCTATTGTCTAGAAATAGCTACTTAATGTTTTCATTTTTACATTTTTTCTATGTATATGTATTTCATAGAGTGAAACTATAGTTTTAGATTCCGTCTTTTCTTGATTAACATTATAGTATTTGTTAATGGGTGCATTTTATATCATTGTTTGGATTAATTGTAATGAAGAATGCTACAGTGAACACCCTTGCCTACATTTGCCTACATTTCTAATTATTTTCTGATGACAGATTCCTAGAATTGGAGTTATTGATCATCAGCAAAACTATCTTCAGTCTTTTCATTGCCAAACCAACTTTGACAAAGTTGCTACTACTTCCGTACTTGTACAAGTTGAATATGAGAGTACCTGTGTCATTTCAAGTCATTGAATAAAATGCTGCTGATTTGATACTGTAAATAGGCCTTTGTCTAATTCACATTTCCTTTTTCACTAGTGAAAAGTTGTATGATATTAACTATTAATATTCATGTTGTTTCTGTGAACTTTGCTTACTTTTATGCAGGAGGCTGTGTTTTTCTTATTAAATAATTTTCATATATTAAAAAATCGGCCGGGCGTGGTGGCTCACGCCTGTAATCCCAGCACTTTGGGAGGCAGAGGCAGGCAGATCACGAGGTCAGGAGATTGAGACCATCCTGGCTAACATGGTGAAACCCTGTCTCTATTAAAAATACAAAAAATTAGCCGACTGTGGTGGCGGGTGCCTGTAGTCCCAGCTGCTTGGGAGGCTGAGGCAGGAGATTGGCATGAACCCGGGAGGCGGAGCTTGCAGTAAGCTGAGATCACGCCACTGCACTCCAGCCTGGGTGACGGAGCAAGACTCCGTCTCAAAAAAAAAAAAAAAAAAAAAAAAAATCAACTTTTTGCCATTTATGGTGAATCTTTTGCCATTTTGCTTGCTTTTTGATTTTATGGTTTTTGTCAGGGAGAACAGAAGTCTTTGTTTTTACACAATCTAGAGTTATACTTGGGGAGAATTTTGTGTGTGTGTGTGTGTGAGTTCTTTGTCTAATGGTATGCAGGGAAGAATTCCAAACAAGAGGATTATGGAGGACCAAAAACCCCTCTTTATAATTAACAAAGATCATGAGGTAGAGGCCATTTCATGCAGACACAGTGATTTCACCTCTTTTCCCACTGCAATTGTTTGTCTCTTACTTCTGAAGATGGCTGATGTCACCCATTAAACTTATTTACTTGTTTGGCATATTTAACTTCTACACAGTTAAAGTTGCCCTTTTGGTCAATTCTTCTGTCGTATGGCATTTTCTCATGTCCTGATGCTTTCTTTTAAGGTATTATCCAAAGAGATGAGTCACCCATGGAAAAAGGGCTCTCTGGTCTACGAGGAAGGGACTTTGAGCTGTCTGACGTGTTTTATTTCTCCAAGAAGGGATTGGAAGCCATTGTAGAAGATGAAGTGACCCAGAGGTTTTCCTCAGAGGAGCTAGTGTCATGGAATCTCCTCACAAGAACCAATGTAAATTTCCAGTACATCAGTCTGCGGCTCACTATGGTGTGGGTGCTGGGCGTCATAGTGCGCTATTGTGTCCTACTGCCTCTGAGGTAAGTCATATGCCTGGTAATTTGATGATACGCTTGACTCAGCTTTCTTTTTGAATCATGTACATAATGGCCACGTAAGTGTTCTGTGGTGCTTATTCCACCCATTCCCACGTAGGAAATGCCACCAAACATGACCTCTAAAGGAATGTATTACGTATCCATTTTCCTTTCACAATTTTTCCCCAAATGAAGTTGTATATTCAGAATCCAATGTATATCTTAGAATCTGGATCCACTTTGCTATTAGAGTCTGAGCTAACTTGAGGATGGAGAGAAAAGGGAAGTGAAGAAGAAGAAGAGGAAGAGGAAGAAGAAGAAGAGAGATCATCAACAGTTTCATATTCACTAGAGCATCAGCCAAACTGTAAGAGCTGACCAGAACCCACTGCCTTTCTTTGCCAGTCCATAGCACTTCATAACTGCATAAGAGAGAAAAAATTCTTGAGTGTGGTTACACGTGGGAGAGAGCCATTTCGAAGTGTGTTTGTTCCATCCAATTCATTGTGATCACGGACTGCTCTTATTAAAGTGTCCCCACCTGGGTCCCCTTCTGCTTCTGAGCTTGAGTGCCACCTGGTGAGGAGGCAGTGTCAAGCCTAGTTTATGGAAAGCACGATGTGGAACATGAGTAGAAGGCACTGCGTGGTGGGATGAAGCTGTAAGTGGCTGAGATCTGATTAGCGTGGTGGTAGCAGTAGTAGGCACGTATACCAGCCACAACATTATTGTTGATCATCTTGCTTCATTTCCCTGGACATGGCCTTGGCATCCTCTCAGCAGAGCTTTCCAGGCAGTGGCTACCTGCCAACTAAACTTGGCACATGAATTGAAATCTTTTTACCACCCCCAGGGTGGCCTATGCTTGCCTCATTCAGATTTATTACCAGGGAAAGTATTGCTTAACTACAGGGAAATGCAGATTTCTAAGAAATTATTTCTGGGTTGTTGTTGTTGTTTTTTTTTGCCCATATTGCTAGTTCAGACATTGGGGCATAGTATGTCTTTTGGGAATCATTTCAGCTGTGATAATGAAGCGAAATTCAAGGTTTCACATATAATTTTGCTTGAACCTTAAACTAGTGCCCCCAAAACAGGGTTCGTGTACTCTGGGAGTGTACAAGACTATCCATTGGCATGCAGGAAGGAAATATTAGAGCTCTTATTTACTAAAAGCTTCTGTTCTGGCTGGGTGCAGTGGCTCACGCCTGTAATCCCAGCACTTTGGGAGGCCGAGGTGGGCGGATCACAAGATCAAGAGATCGAGACCATCCTGGCCAACATGGTGAAACCTCATCTCTACTAAAAATACAAAAATTAACTGGGCGTGGTGGAGCACACCTAGTCTCAGCTACTCGGGAGGCTGAGACAGGAGAATCGCTTGAACCTGGGAGGCAGAGGTTGCAGTGAGCTGTGATCGTGCCACTGCACTCTAGCCTGGCAACAGAGCGAGACTGCGTATCCAAAAAAAAAAGAAAGAAAGAAAGAAAAAAAGCTTCTGTTCGCTTTATAACTAGAGCTTCCATTTATTCTGTTTTCATTCTTAAAAAGAAAAAGCCCAGGGGCATGGTGGCTCACACCTGTAATACTAGCACTTTGGGAGGCTGAGGTGGGCAGATCACTTGAGGCCAGGAGTTCGACTGGCCTGGACAACATGGTGAAACCCCATCTCTACCAAAAATACAAAAATTAGCCAGGTGTGGTGATACGCACTTGTAGTCCCAGCTACTTGGGAGGCTGAGGCAGAGAATTACTTGAACCCAGGAGGCAGAGGTTGCAGTGAACCAGGATCACGCTACTACACTCCAGCCTGGGTGACAGAGCGAGACTCTTGTCTGAAAAAAAAAAAAAAAAAAAAAAAAAAAAAATGAAGCTGGGCCGGGCATAGTGACTCTTGCCTGTAATCCCAGCCCTTTGGGAGGCCGAGGTGAGGTCAGGAGTTCTATGTCAGCCTGGCCAACATGGTTAAACTCCATCTCTACTAAAAATACAAAAATTAGCCAGGTGTGGTGGCACATGCCTGTAGTCCCAGCTACTTGGGAGGCTGAAGCAGGAGAAATCACTTGAACCCGGGAGGCGGAGGTTGCAGTGAGACACTGTATTCCAGCCTGGGTGACAGAGTGAGGTGAGGCTCCATTTCAAAAAAAATAAACAACAACAACAACAACAAAAACACATGAAGCTTTAGTCAAGTTTAATATATGGATTGGTTCGTATCCAAGGTAACCTGAAGGAAGAATGAGGAATTCTACAGCACAGTGCTTGAGATGCCCTTGTTTGTTGTTGGTTAGCTTTCACCATGCTGTGGGGGCCCAGAAAATGCTGTTATGATTCCCTTATCTACTAAACAAATGCTCACAAAATAGATAAGTGACTTAAAATATTTTTGCAAAGAAACTATGATTTAAGATAATAAAGCAATGTAAACATTTATTACTTCTTGGCCTTTGGGCTAAGATCAAGTGCAGTGATATAAGCATCCAAGAACAAAAAGAAAATGCAGAGTTCAGACTCCTACTCTTAGTGGATACTCTTCAGTGTGGAAGAACTGCTTTGTAAATGCTTTTTAAAAGAAGCACCTACTACAAAATGAGCTTTTCAAAAACCAGATTGTATTAAGATACAATGTGGTGATGGTTGCACAACTCTGTGAATATGACAGAAACTACTGAATTGCATACTTTATTTTATTTATTTATTTTTATGATGAGATAGAGTCTCACTCCATCACTTAGACACAATCTTGGGTCACTGCAACCTCTGCCCGCTGAGTTCAAGCGATTCTTATGCCTCAGCCTCTCGAGTAGCTGGAATTACAGGCATGTGCCTCCATGCCTGGCTAATTTTTGTATTTTTAATAGAGATGGGGTTTCACCATGTTGGCCAGGCTGGTCTCAAACTCCTGACCTGAAGTGATCCGCCTGCCTTGGCTTCCCAAAGTGCTGGGATTACAGGCGTGAGCCAGTGCCTGAACTGAATTACACATTTTAATGGGTTGAATTGTATGGCATGTGAATTGTATGTCAATAAAGCTCTTAAAAAACAGACTGTGGCTGAAAACTTATGTCATCTATGAGAACTCTAACATTGCCTCACTTAAACTGGGATACATAATGTTCTGGCCTGTTAATCTAGCAAATAAAAAGTTTCAGTAGTTTTGAACCCAATTGTTAAACATGTTAAAATGAAACTCCTTCTGATTTAATGGATGGGAACAAGTGATTCTCATTGGGGCAAGATGGCAAAACATTATTTTAAAAGTTTTGCATAATTGATGATGAGATTAAACAATAATTTAGTTATTGCATCAGTAACTGACAAGAAAAAAGAACCTGACCTTCAAATTGCTATGTCAAGTCTTTAACAAAATTTAACACCTTATTTATCAAGGTATTTATAGGAAAGCATGTTCAAAAAGCTTTCTTCTTGCTCAAAATTGTAATAGTATTAATTATATTTATTAGTTATAGTAATATATCATGTTATTAAGTTATAATTATAAAATTGATAGTTATAATTATAAAATTAATAATATATATTAATGTATTACTTTATTATCCTATTTTGAGTGAGGACAAATTGCAACATTAATATAATTTCAAAATACTGTATTTTTAAATAAAAATATTTATACTTTTTTTTACGTTTCCAGATGTTTTATAATGTACATTATATCAGTACAGAATATGCACATTATTCTTAAACACATTGGGCTGCATGTTCAGATGTGTTATTGATGGAGTGTTTCTCCAAATGGGTTAAGATTGCTGCCTTTTACGCTGTTTCTTTTTTTTTTTTTGAGACAGTCTCACTTTGTTGCCCAGGCTGAAGTGTAGTGGCACAATCTTGGCTCACTGCAACCAACCCCTGCCTCCTGGGTTCAAGCGGTTCTCGTTACAGGGATGTGTCACCATGCCTTCCTAATTTTTGTATTTTTAATAGAGACAGGGTTTCACCATGTTGGCCAGGCTGGTCTCGAACTCCCCACCTCAAGTGATCCACTCGCCTGGGCCTCCCAAACTGCTGGGATTGTAGCCGTGAGACACTGCTTATTTCTCTTGTTTTAAATAATGCTAAACTGCTATGTTAAATCATAATCTCCTGAAAGACAGAATAACATAATGCTTATGAAAATGAATTCTGGAGCCCTGGGTTCAAATCCTGGCTCGGTTGCTTATTTTCTGTGTAACTTTGGGTGAGTTAGTTAGCCTTTCTATGCTCCAATTTTTTCATGTGTAGAATGGGGATAATGATAATATTATTGCCTCATAGAGTCTTGGGGATGATTAAATGTGTTAAATATAAAAGGTACTTAGAATATTGCGTGGTGTATAGTGTTAGGTGTTGCTTCATCATCATCTAATGTGAAACCTGGGATTGGTTAAGACAAACGATTTTATGCTCCAAATATCTGATCAGAAAGTAAAGATAGCTACGTGTCAGCAGTAAATGAGCTTCACCCTGGAGAGGGTTACTGTTCCTGACCCTTAACCTTAGGCAACCACTGTAGCTTCCCCAGACACACAGGGTCCTTCTGATACTGCAGGGGTGGTCCCCTTCAGTCTGCTTATTGAATACCTCACGCATTCAGCAACACGTGTGTGCTCTTCTGGGAACAGGAAGACATAAATAGGCCTCTGGTTTGATTTGAGAGAGTAATGAGATAATCTAAAGTTTCTGCTTTCTCCATTTGACAAAGTAAGATGATTTAAAGAATCTTATTAGTAAAATGTGATTAAACTATTGATTTTTCTTCTCTATTAACTAAATCCTATTTATTTTGAAAGATTTTGTCTTAACTTTCCTTTTTGAATAATTCTATTTACATTTCTAGAAATTACTACTTTCCTTTTGAAGTCATTGGAATGTATATTAAAAGCACTTTTCAAAAAGAAGGCAATGTCTATATGGAGGTTAGAGGTACTGTCAGTCACCTTGTTTGCTAACTTCTGAGTTATCTTGAACCATGCAAAAGGACAACAGTTAGATTTGCATTAAAAGATGTCTACATGGTGGTATATTTTGGTGTTCTTATTATGAAAGCACCTTTAAATCTATTCCCTTCACTAGCCCTCTTAACCCTTTGGTGATTATATAGATTTAACTTGATAGTTTTGTGAAAATTTCCAGGCCTTCTCTATGCATATACAGACTTGTTACACATGTGTTTGTTGTTGTTTTGCAGATGGCATCATATTCTGTACTTTATTCTGAAACTTACTTTGCTTTTTGCCTCTTAAAGTGTGTCGTGGAACATTCTTCCGTGTTAGATCTATATAGATTTACCCAGTTATTTTAGTGGCTGCATCATATTTCATCATGTGGATACTCTACAACTTATTTACAATTTTATTATTTAGGAACTTTTTGGTTACTTCCATGCTATGTGTCAAAATCTTATATGGCCCTCTCTTTTCTTTTTCAGGGTTACCTTGGCTTTCATTGGGATCAGTTTGCTGGTTATAGGAACTACACTGGTTGGGCAGCTGCCAGACAGCAGGTGAAATGTTTCCTTCCATCCAGCCATATATAGGACTGTCTTTTTTCTTAGCTGTGTCCACAAAGAGAATATTTGTTTGATTCCTATGTATTGCATTATTATTATTATTATTTTTGAGACGGAGTCTCGTACTGTCACCTGGGCTGGAGTGCAATGGTGTGATCTTGGCTCACTGCAACCTCCGCCTCCTGGGTTCAAGAGATTCTCCTGCCTCAGCCTCCTGAGTAGCTGGGATTACAGTCACCCACCACCATGCCCAGCTAATTCTTTGTATTTTTAGTAGAGACGGGGTTTCACCATGTAGGCCAGGGGGGTCTCGAACTCCTGACCTTGTGATTTGCTTTCCTTGGCCTCCCAAAGTGCTGGGATTACAGGTGTGAGCTACCACACCAGGCTGCATTGCATTAAATTTATGTTCTCTACTCATTTATTAGAATCCTGCTCACTTCATCTTCATAGTCTTTGATTTTTTTAAATCATACTTCCATATTAATTGAAAGAAGTTGTTTTTTCAAAGGAGAATTGAAGAAAGAAAATGAACTGAGTTACCTAAGAGAGTCTTATATATTGGCAAGCTCATAAGACCAAGACCAAAGAAGCTTCACTTTATCTCGTTCAGGAATTTGTCATAATAGCCTAGTGGTTTTGAGCCACTTTTCATTAGAGTTATGTCCAGTTTTTTTGGTAGACTTTTGTGATCTAATACTAAATGTGCCAATGAGACTATAACAATTGACTATAAGACTATAAGAATTGAACTGTACCTGTTCACCAGAATAGAATGTGGTATGCTGTTGTGAAAAAGCACATTAAAACCTTTATTATATTGTTTCTTAAGAGTGCCCAGAATGGCACAATAAAATGTTTCTATTTCCTTCAGCCTCAAAAACTGGCTGAGTGAACTGGTCCATCTGACTTGCTGCCGGATCTGTGTGCGAGCCCTCTCTGGTACCATTCATTATCATAACAAGTGAGTATCTGCTCCAATGTGCCTGTCTTTTTCTAGGTCAATTCAGCATGAGATTGACAAGGAAGCATTGGAAGTGGTTGGGAAGAAGTGGGTGGAGTCAGAGTGCTTCCAATGTGTTCATCTCTACTTCTCAGTGTGGCACAGGCATGATGCACAAAAACACTAAATAGCAGTGTTTGCAGAAAGAATATAATAATAAACACGTAGTTGTGCTCAATAATTGGGCATTTATGGTGTGCAGGCCAGACCCTGTGTTTCTTGTAGCTCATCCCTATGAGATAGGCACTGTTAACCCATTTTATAGGGGAAGAAATGTAAGCTTTGGGATTTGTTGTTTAGGGTCACAGTGAATAAACAATGGAATCAGGTTTTGAGCCATGTCTCTCTGATTTTAAAAACAATGAAGTTGACAGGTCTGTACTGTGGTGGAAATAGGACTAGACGTGGAGTCTGGAAATGTGGTCTCTATTCTTAGTCCTGCTACTTCTAAAATTCCATAATTGAGCCTTAAAACAAAATTCTGCTTTTCTCTCCCAGAATTGTAGAGAATGAAGGCAGCAAAGGAAAGGAATTAGCTAAGTGAAAGTGATTTTGATTGCATTTGAACTACTTTTCTATTATCTTAATTTTTTTTAGATTTAACATCATTTTAAAAGTTCTAGGCCAAGCTTCTCTTTTTTACTGATTTGGTCTTTCTTTCTCATTTGTAGAAGGGAAACATTTTGCCATTTGGCTTTACCATGTGGTACCAACATAAAAGACCCTTTAAACATTTTAAATTATATGATGTTGCAATTGGACTATGAGTTTTAAAGTGAAGAGTGAAAGAAAACACTCTGGCAGGTGTGCAGTCAGAAGAAACACCTGTAGAAAAGGCACACTTATTACATAAAGAGGAGTTCCTAACTTCTTATAGAATTGCTTCTCATTTTGAAGAAAATATGCTAAATAATTGTGTATTTGGTTCTTTCTTCTCTGTATAGGCCCAAAGAAAACTACTTTGCTTTATTGGTGTCAAATACTGGTTTCACTCTAGGGTAGAGATCAACAAACTGAACTGGGAGCCTATAGGCCAAATCTGGCCCACCAGCTGTTTTCTGTAAATAACATTTTATTGGAACACAGCCGTGCTCATTCACAGCCGTGGCTGCTTTTGTGTCACAACAGCAGAGTCAAGTAATTGTGACAAGCATTGTCTGGCTTGCAAAGCTTAAAGTATTTGCTGTCTGGCCCTTGATAAGAAAAGTTTGCCAACCTCTGCTCTAGGAGGATAGGAGGGAGGAAATTATGGTGAATTTTCTCCGTGGATTACCATGAAACCACTAAAAGTGATGTATATGAAGATCAGAATAATGTGAAAATACTTCAGATTAAATAAGTGAAAGCTGTGTATTATCAATGGAAAAATCATGGGCCCCCTACCACACTCTCATCACACTACCTAGAGATCACCTTTTAAAGATGGGCCCGTGTACCTCCAAACTTAATTTTTAAAAATATACTTAAAAAAGACCAGGCACGGTGGCTTATGCCTGTGATCCCAGCACTTTGGGAAGCCGAGTGGGGCAGATCACTTGAGGTCAGGAGTTTGAGACCAGCCTGGCCAACATGGAGAAACCTCATCTCTGCTAAAAATATAAAAATTAGCTGGGCCTGATGGCACATACCTGTAATTCCAGCTACTTGGGAGGCTGAGGCAGGAGAATTGCTTGAACCCCTGGAGGTGGAGGTTGCCATGAGCCAAGATTGCACCAATGCACTCCAGCCTGGGCAACAGAGTGAGACGCGAAAAAAAAAATTACATATATACACACACACACACTTAAAAAAGTAAGATGAGTATTTACATGCTGTGGCTATTTTAGAAGACTTCGAATTTTCCATTGTTTGTAATTGCAGGCAGTACAGACCCCAGAAGGGAGGCATTTGTGTTGCCAACCATACTTCCCCCATTGATGTTTTAATCTTGACAACGGATGGATGTTATGCTATGGTAAGAGCAGCTCATTGATATTTCAAGTAGTTGCATGTTTTATGGATTGATCAAACTTTTTATTTTGGCATAAATTAGCAAGTTGGTTTTATGTTAGAAATTTGACTGCGTTATACTATTGTAGCTATATAAGTTATGTAATGTATTTACATGAGGAATATGTAGTGCAAGAAAAGGAAGGAAAATAGCCATGATATTTAAGATGGTAAAAAATTAACTTACTGAAATGCAGACATTCTTGAGCTTAATAGGACCTTGTAAAGTTGATTCCATTTTCCTTGTAAAATCCCTGCCAGTGTTTAATAATATTTGCAACATTAAATTCTTTCTTTTTACAGTTGCACATATCCCCTAGCCAGCCAATTACTTCTTTCTTCCTTCAGGGACTTATATGCAATTAAAAGAAATCTGGCTCTTTAATGAGGATCTAGCAAGAAAGGCAAATATTTATATCAGGTTGTCTTTCTCAGTCCTTGCCCATAGCCCCAAAAGAAAAGAAAATGAAACAAACCCAAGAACAAACTACAAAGCCTACAGTAAAACTGTACATCTCAAAACAGCCTTTCTTGGGGATGAATATAGGAATCATATTCTTTTTTTTTTTTTTTTTTTTCAAATCTGTGTTTTCTGTTGCCCTTGCAAATTTGTCAAGATTTCTTGCATCTCCTTTCTGTGTCAGGTAAATTCTGCAGGATAATTGAAGCTGCATGGTAGTTAAATATGCCTTCAGTTGGTGTTTGGCATAGAATGCCTGGACAAGGGTCCTAGGGGATCGCCTTTTCAAATTTTCATGGTGGTGGGTTGGGCTTCAGGGAGAGTAGATGGGTTTTATTTCACTTACCAGTTCCAGGGATTGACAGCCATGGTTTGGTGTGTTTTTCTGGGAAGGCATTTGAAGGGAGCCATTTTTGATTAAATGTCGCTGCAAGTAGGAAGGTGGAGAGTATTGGCACATGTGCAAGTATTTGACTCTGCATGGGTTACACAATCATTAAGGGGATTTTGAAGGCCTTTGCAAAAATTTCTGCTTATTGCCATGTGTTTAATCTGTCTAAAATACATGGCCAGATATATAACTCTTGGATACTACATTTTAACACGTTATTAAATTTCTCTAAATAATGGAGCTCTTTCTGAATCTAAGAAAGCGTTAGCCACCTTTATGAAAAGACTTATGAGAATTGGTAGTTCTTAATCTTTTCTTAGGTTAGGAATTAGTTGATAGTTATGTACCTTTTTAAAGAAAAAAACTAACCATATCTGCATCATACAAACAACAATTTTATGTATAATTTCAAGATGTTTATGGGTCTCCCTAAAGACCATCCAAGGACCCTCATGTTAACACCCTAGACCCCGCAGCACAGTTCTGAGTGTATGTAATAATCCTTGTATTTATGTGGACACTTTCATGCATTATATTTGACCTTCCCTGTAATCCAATCAGGTTAGGTCTGAGATTTTATTATAGATGAGGAAGCAGAGGCTTAGGCAACCAATCTGCCTAAGTTGATTTTGTGCTGCTACAACAGAATACCACAGACTGTAACTTATAATGAACAGAAATTTATTGACTAACAGTTCTGGAGGCTGGGAAGTCCAATATCAAGGTGCCAGCATCTGTCCATGGTCTTCTTGCTGAGTCATCACATGGTATAAGGCAGAAGGGCCAAAAGCCCAAGAAAGCAAACCTACTCCCAGAGCCATTTTATAAGGGCTTTAATCCATCCATGAGGAGAGCACCCTCATGGCCTCAGTATCTCTCGTTATGCCCCACCTCCCAAAACTGTTGCAAACCATAACACTCCTTGGTCATGGTTTTGTGTTTCAGAAATCATATTCCTCCTGTATTCTGGTCAACAAAGAGTTGAGTATAACCCATTTGTAACCAAGGACCTCAGAACTTTGTTGGCATTTTCTTTACTTTTAGATCATGTATAACCGCAATTACAATATATTAGCCAAAATTTAGAAAAGCATAGTAACTGTAAACTGTCCAGTGGGTTGAGTGTAGAAAACTAAAGTTGACTGAATTTAAATTGGAGGTGGCGTAAGGCAGATGTGGGATGATACCATGCCATTAGCCTCCAGACATCATAATTGGCCTCTTTTGACTAAACATAAACTCTGTATTGAAAGAACATCAAAGATCTCTTCTCAGTGACTCTCCTTTTATTAAAAGAAATCTACTGTTTAATTGACAAATAAAAATTATATATATTTGTAGTATACAACAGATGTTTTGATAGATGTATACATTGTAGAATGGCTAAATCAAGCTAATTAACATATCCATTACCTCACTCAGTGACTTTTCTAGTCTTGTTTTTCCCTCTAGACAAAGACCTCTACTTTTTTAAATTTAGAAATGTTTTCAAGCTTACAGAAAAGTTATAATAATAAGAAAATCACATTAGAGCACCCTTATGCCCTTTATCCACATTTACCTGTTGGTAAGATTGTGCCTCATTTGCTTTGTCATTTGCTTTCTCAGGTACTGGGAAAAGCTCTCTTGTTCTGTCTCTCCCTATAAAAATGTGGGTAAAATGTTTGTATTTTTAATATATTTATATTTAACATTTCTTTTTTTTTGAGACAGCACCTCACTCTGTTGCCCAGGCTGGAGTGCAGTGGTGTGATCTCGGCTCACTGCAACCTCCGCCTCCCAGGTTCAAGTGATTCTCCTGCCTTAGCCTCCCTAGTAGCTGGGATTACAGGTGCCCACCACCATGCCCAGTTAATTTTTGTATTTTTAGTAGAGACGGGGTTTTGCCATGTTGGCCAGGCTGGTCTCAAACTCCTGACCTCAGGTGATCCACCCACCTTGGCCTCCCAAAGTCCTGGGATTACAGGTGTGAGCCACCGAGCCAGGACTTTTTTTTTTTTTTTTTAAACATAGTCCTCCTGTGTTGTCCAGGCTGGAGTGCAGTGGTATGATCTCGGCTCACTGCAACCTCTGCCTCCCAGGTTCAAGTGATTCTCCTGCCTCAGCCTCCCAAGTAGCTGGGATTACAGGTGACCATCACCACACCCAGCTAATTTTTGTAGTTTGTAGTAGAGATGGGGTTTCACCATGTTGGCCAGGCTGGGCTTGAACTCCTGACCTCAAGTAATCCTCCCACCTCAGCCTCCCAAAGTGCTGGGAATACAGGTGTGAACCACCACATCTGGCCTATATTTACTATTTATTTCTAATATTTACATTGGAAATCTGAATACATCCAACTCTTAAGGTTCTTTCTTGCTTTCCTTCAATTAATATTTGTATCTCCCATTTTCATAATGAAAATCCTGTTTCCCAACAATATCAATATGTTTACTCATTTTCTCAATTCTATGATACATCTAAAATTATTTCAGAATTGCTTCACTACTACAAAAAAAAAGGTAGTAAAAAGAGTTCAGGATGTTTTGCAGTTCTTACAATGCCATCCAAGATGGAGGGTATGTAGTCAGATACTGTCTTTGCAAGTTTCTTGGATGTTTCCCCCTTCCTTCAATGCTGTTCTTTTACTCATTTAAAATCCAATTGGGTTCACTGGCTTCAGTTTGCTTTAGTCTGTCATTCGCTCCTTACTGATTTAATTTTTTTTGAATATGTAGGGTATCAATATGCTTCCAAATGTCAAAACTAAGCCGAAAAGGTATACTCATTGAAGTGCCACTACCTTCCATGTTCATTCCATCCCATTCCTTCCTACTCTTGTAGGTTCATTGACTTTGGTTATCCTTTCTGTATTTCTTTTTGTAGAGATAAACACATGTATGCATATTATTTCCCCTTTAGTCTTATACAAAAGGTAGCATACTGTATTTGTTCTTTTGTCTTTTTCATTTAACAATATCTCCTGGAAATTACTCTTTATCAGTCATAGAGATCAACCTTGCTCTGTTCCCAGCTGCATAATACTCCATTATTTGTATGTACCATTATCTATTTATCTAATTTCTTATATTTGGACATTTAGGTAGTTTCTAATATTTTGCCATAACAAGTAATGCTGTAGTTAATAGCCTTGTGCATATATATTTTCAATTTGTTGGAAGTATATCTTCAGGGTTAATTTCTAGGAGAGGAATTATTGAAATGAAAGATGAGTGTGTATGCAATTTTGTAGATGTTGCCAAATTTCTTTCCATTTGTGTTGTAATCTGCTCCCTTCCACCAAGCAATGTTTGAAAGTTATCCATAGACTTATGTCAGAGTGTATTGTCAAGCTTTTAAATCTTTGTCAGTGTGATGGGTTTGAAAAGGTATTTCAGTGTAGTTTTAATTTACATTTCTCTAATGTTGACCAAGTTGAAAAACCTCTACTTTTTGAAGTTAGAGGATTGCTAGCACAGCAACGTAACTTAAAATTCAAAGGTGCTACTAAAGAATACCTTTTTGCTTACATTTGGCCTTTCAGACTATTTGATCAGACTAAGAACTTCAGTCAGTAGAAGGCCAATCATATTTTTGAGTGGAGAATAGAAATTTGTTGGTACTTAAAAAACTTTCTTTGCACAACGGTGCCTTTTACGTTTTTTCCTTTTCTTATGCTACTTCTAGGTTGGCCAGGTTCATGGCGGCTTGATGGGAATTATTCAGAGAGCTATGGTCAAGGCTTGTCCTCATGTCTGGTTTGAACGCTCAGAAATGAAGGATCGACACCTGGTTACTAAGAGGTAAGCAGTGAAATTACTCAGCATTCACTGGAGTAGCATAAAAGCTGACCAATCTTGGCCTTGCTACCAAAGAGGGCCGAGCAGCACTGAGTCTCAAAACTGAAACAGAGCCCTGTTTGCTGTTGGATTTTTCTGGCAAATCACCTGTCTTAGCCAGATTTTTAAAAAATGTAATTCTGTAGTCATGGTAGGATATATGATGGGATTGGAAGGCCAATGTATTTATATTGCTGTGACTTAGATATAGTCCAGTCACTGAATTTTCAAAGATAAAAATTACCACCTTTAAATTAGATATGATCTCACTTGAGTATAAGCAATTAAAAAAATAAATTAGATATGTATACTTTACCTCAATAAAAAATATATAAAAAAGAAAAAAAAACCACCTTGAAGGTTAAATATTTGATAACTACTTGCTAAATATATGATTGATTAAGTGTTTGCTGAATGATTGTTATCACTTAAATCCAGCTAGAAGCTGGGCATGGTGGCTGACGTCTGTAATCCTAGCACTTTGGGAGGCCAAGGTAGGAGAATGGCTTGAACCCAGGAGTTCAAGACCAGCCTGGGCAGTATAGTGAGACCTCATCTCTACAAAAAATAAATAAAATTAGCCAAATGTGGTGGCATATGCCTGTGGTCCCAGCTACTTGGGAGGAAGGATCGCTTGAGACCATGAGGTTGAGGCTGCAGTGAGCTGAGATTACACTACTGCCCTCCAGCCTAGGCAACAGGGGGAGACCTTGTCTTAAAAAAAAAAAAGAAGATCCAGCTAGAGACAGAGGAATGGGAGAAGGAACCTCTGGGGTTTAGGGTAGAGATGAGCTACCAGAAACCTTCGTTAGGAAACAGCTTTTGGCCCGAGGCCTTTAACTGGAAGGCACATTGGTTATCGCTTCTATAAACACAAAGGTGGTCCATTACTCTTAATATAATGAAAAGTACTTGATGAATCTGCTTCAAGTTAGAAAAACGATTCCCTATCTTGAGATCATTTGGCAGTGGGACACTCTGGCAGCTGCAGTCTGGCTACCTCAGCCCTTACCAGCTCTGGAGAGAAGAGTTGGAAATATAGGGTTGGTTGCAGGGAGGACAGGACATAAGCCTGGAAGAATGTCAGTCTTTCTCAGCTTCATGGTGTGCAAATGGAAAGTTCAACCTGAATCATTTAAGGATTGTCTTGTACTTAATGGCCATAATGCAGGTAGGTCCAGCAACCCAATATTCCCATTTTTCAGATGAGGAAACCTAAGTACATGGAGAAGAGCACAAAGCTCATGACACAGAGGCTCTAGAGTCCATGACTCTAGAGTCAAATGACTGTCTAATATTCTCTTTTAAGAATAGGCGAAGACACTGAAAATCACTTACTTTGGTCCAGGCACATTGGCTCATGCCTGTAATCCCAGCACTTGGGGAGGTTGAGGCGGGTGGATCGCTTGAGCTCAGGAGTTCGAGACCAACCTGGGCAACATGGTGAAATGCCATCAGTACAAAAAATACAAAAACTTAGCAGGGTGTAGTGGTGCATATCTGTGGTTCCAGCTACTTGGGAGGCTGAGGAGGGAGGTTTGCTTGAGCTCAGGGTGTGGAGGCTGCAGTGAGCCGAGATCATGCCACTGCACTCCAGCCTGGATGAAAGAGTGAGACCCCATCCCCCACCCACCAAAAAAAAGAAAAAAGACTTACTTTGAAATTAGAGAAATTATAATGGTGCAGATCTTCTTAAACTTTTTTGGAAAGGAAACAACTCAAATTTATTTCTTTTACCTGTATCTCAATTATTTTCTCCTTATTGCTTCACAATTGTGCCAGTAAAGTGCAAGGAATATCAAAAAGGACATCCACCTCTCTCTTTATAAAGGCAGAATTTTGATCCTTTTTTTTTCCATAGACTAAAAGAACATATTGCTGATAAGAAGAAACTACCCATACTAATTTTTCCTGAAGGTAAGAATGGGCCTGCCTCCCGAGCTATAGTTGATAACAACAAACCATCAAAAGTGTGTGAGGAATAGAATTGCCATAGAATTGGCAACCTTAGCCCAGATCTCTGCCCTTAGAGGAATGGGATGGCACTCTCTGAGTTATTAATTCCTTGCTTTCTTTTGAGACTTGATAGAAGTCATGTTACCTTTTTAATTCAAAAGTCATTTCTGGGTAGTGAACTGAGAGCAGAATTGTCCGTGACTTTAAGGGTTGCATGTATTGAAATTTCACCTGTTGAGAAGTTGTTCCCATAGGCCCATAGAGTGTTCAGTAGAAAAGTAAAAGCTTGTTGTTAAACCTGCTTAGTCAGAACTATAGGATTACTACCTTGGCAGGGGTTCGTTTGTGATATGGTAGTACGATGCCTGTAATTTTGATATTTTAAATTATTTTATATCAAAATAATTTCTTTTAAAATTTATTTTTAAAATGACTGCCTTTAAAAATATTCACGCTCCTACCCTCACCCCCTTGCAGGAACTTGCATCAACAATACTTCAGTCATGATGTTTAAAAAGGGGAGCTTTGAAATTGGAGGAACCATACATCCAGTTGCAATTAAGGTAAAACAGATACCATAATAAGAATAATAATTATTATAAAGATATTGGATTGGTAATTTTATTTTGGTAGCATTTCAAACTTAAAATTTGCAAGAACGAGGAACACCAGTTTTCGGATGCACCAGTCCTCTGCACTTTGCCTCCCCTGCTTTCTCATGTGCTCGCTCTCTATATGTAGATAGATGTATACTGGGTGACTCTGTGCCAGGTGTTGTATTTGCTCATAGTGTTAAGTGAAACAGATTCTGTTCCTGCTTTCATCAGCCTTCTAGTTAAGTGTGGAGACAGATATTTAATAGTCATGTAAATAACTCTTGTTGGTGTGCTCTTTGGTTCTATTTAGAAAAGCAGTCATCTCTAGTCAGATGTATTAGCTGGCCCAGTTTACTTTTTTTTTGATAAATTCCATCAAGTGAAATAACTTTTTTTTTCTTAGAGTCTGATAAAGCTGTTTGGCCTACCACCTTTAAAACATTGGGCACGGATGAGAAACCACCCTTATTTCATAACTGAGATGTATTTTCTTTTTTCTCAGTATAACCCTCAGTTCGGTGATGCATTTTGGAACAGTAGTAAATACAACATGGTGAGCTACCTGCTTCGAATGATGACCAGCTGGGCCATCGTCTGTGACGTGTGGTACATGCCCCCCATGACCAGAGAGGTATTCCTTAGCTAACACTTTATCTAATCAGGTAGAGGCAAGGAGATCTTCACCTGAAAATCTGGGTGTCTCCCTTCTCCATGTCATGCTTTTCTGCTTTCTCAGCAAATGGGTCATTTTTTTAATGATGTATTTAGCTCACTTTAAATCAGACCATTTTATATTGAGAGATTATTTTCCACGATGGTTTTATAATTGCTGTTGGTTTATTGAACCTACAGATATTATCTTGGGTAAGACTAATAAAGAGCGTAATAAATATATGCACATGGTAAAAAATTAAACAATACAACACTGCATTTTCTTTATAGAACAAATGATATTTGCTATGATTGATTAAGAATAGAAAGCATTTGAGCTGAAATATGAATCTTATATTTTAAAACAAATACAAATGATTATGAGATGGTATTAAAAACTCGATAACTAAGATATTCTTGCAATTTTTTTTTTTTTTAAACCAGGAAGGAGAAGATGCAGTCCAGTTTGCTAACAGGGTTAAGTCTGCTATTGCTATACAAGGAGGCCTGACTGAACTTCCCTGGTAAGAGAACTTTCAGAAGTACTATCACTTTTTTTTTTTTTTTTTTTTTTTTTTTTTTTTTTTTAGAGAATGCCTCACTCTTTTACCCAGGCTGGAGTGCAGTAGCATGATCATAGTTCACTGTAGCCTGATCATAGTTCACTGTAGCCTTGACCGCCTGGGCTCAAGGGATCCTCCCATCTCAGCCTTCTGAGTAGCTGGGACTACAAGTGCTTGCCACTATGCCCAGCTATTTTAAAATTTTTTGTAGAGATGGGGTGTCCTTGTGTTGCTGAGGCTGGTCTCAAACTCCTGGACTTGAACTCCTGCCTAAGCCTTTCAAAGTGCTGGGATTACAGTCATGAGCTACTGTTCCTGGCCTTTTCTTTTTTTTAATTAAAAAAATCACTGGTAATAATGTCATTTATCATTCTAGTCAGTTATAGGTTTAGCTGAAAGTAATAGTGGTTTATATATAACAATGGCTTAAGTAAGATAGAAGTTTATTTCTCACTTAAACATAACCAGTGAAGGCTGGTAACAGCTCAATCTGTGTTGCTTTACTCTCCTCAATTTGTGCTTCTCTTATGGTCTAAGATGGCTGTTCCAACTCTACTCAGTGTGTACAGCAAATGGCTATGAGGAAGGAATTTTAAAAAGGACACACCCATCTCTAAGAGCACAAGCTGAGAGTTGTATATCCCACTTATGCTTGTATCCATTGGCTAGTACTCAAGTCATGTGATAACACCTAGCTGCAAAGGAAGCTGGGGAATGTAGTCTTTGTTCTGGGTGGCTATATGCCTATCTCACATTTAGGGTTCTTTTTCTTATGAAGAAAGCGGGAATGGATTTGTGAGTGGGGTGGGCATTGGGAGGCAAGGGGCTACTTACAGGCTCATTCATATTTAACTCTAGCTATAACTATATTGTAAGAAAACTGAACAACTTGAAAGAAGGGAAATAAGTGAAATATTTTAGTTATGGATCACTATGGCTTTAGTTTTTGTTTGTTTGAGGAAGATTGAATATAGGTGAATGTATTAGTCTGCTTGGGCTGCCAGACAAAATACAGTGGTCCCCTCTGGATAATGGGGGATATGTTCCAAGTGCCCTAGTAAATTCCTAATACCATGGATAGTACAAATCCTATATAGACTATGTTTTTTTCTATATGTACATAGCTATGATAAAGCTTAATTTATAAATTAGTAATAGAGATTAACAACAATAACAACTGATAAAATAGAACAATTATAATAATACACTGACTAATAAAAGTTATGTGAATGTGGTCTCTCTCTTTCTCAAAATATCTTAATATTTTCAGACCATGGTTGACTGTGGGTAACTGAAACCATGGAAAGCAAAACCTTGGATAAGGGGGGAGTTACTGTACCACAGACTGGGTGGCTTAAACAACAGTTTTAGAACTGTTATTTTCCCACAGTTCTAAAGGCTGGAAGTTTGAGATCAGGGTGCAGCATGGTCAGTTTTTGATAAGGGCTCTCCTCTTGTGTTGCAGATAGCTGCATTCTCCTGTGTGCTTACATGATCCCTTCTTTGTGCAGGCATGAAGAGAGAGTGCAAGTTCTCTAGTGTTTCTTTTTATAAGGGCACTAATCCCATGAGTGCTCCACCCTCATGACCTCATCTAACCCTAATTACCTCCCAAAGGATCCATCTCCAAATAGCACCATATTGGTAGTTAGGGCTTTAACATATGAATTTTGGGGGAGACAAAAACATTCAGTCTATCTCAGTGAAGGTTAACTATACCTACATTATAATGGGGGATTGAATTATTATTATTATTATTTGAGATGGAGTCCTCTCTGTCACCCAGGCTGGAGTGCAGTGGTGCAATCTGGGTCACTGCAACTTCCACCTCCTGGGTTTAAGCAATTCTCCTGCCTCAGCCTCCTGAGTAGCTGGGACTGCAGGCATGCACCACCATCCCCAGCTAATTTTTTTTGTATTTTTAGTAGAGATGGAGTTTCACTATGTTGGCCAGGCTGCCCTCCAACTCCTGACCTCAGGTGATCCACCTCAGCCTCCTAGAGTGCTAGGATTACAGACGTGAGCCACCGATCCTGGCCGGGAGATTGGATTCTTATTTACATACAGGATGTTAAATTAGCAGGCTGTCACAAAACAGTCTATACCTCAAGTCCTATACAGTTAATAAACTCCCTGCTGTCTTTTTTGGTGTTTCAAAAACACTTTGCAAGAAAAGTTTATTTCAGACAATTGTAGCAATGTTTCTAGGAGCAGGATTTGGCCAACTGAGTTAGGCTGTCAGCCAGGAAACCAGGGACCCTCCTGAACCAGCAGAGGATGGTTTAAGGTGTCTGCCTCTCGAAGAAGGGCTGGCTAGATATTACACAGTAAGCATTCACTTCACATCATTGATAGGTTCTTGTAGGCTGTGACCTTAAGCAAAATGACTTTATAGTAGGTTCTTGAATAAATAACATCATTTTGTTCAATGTTGTTTCTTTATAATGTTGATGAGAAAAAATATTGAGTTTTTTATGCATCATTTTGTTTAAAGTTGCAGTTTCTAAGAACCTATCAACAATGTTCAGGGAGGACTTACTGTACTCCATTATGCAAGGGTGGGGAATAACACTAAAATATTTATCCATTCACATAGCGTGAATACAACTAATTGCATCCAGGTAAACCAGTTTCTGATATCCATTATGCAAATTAACAAACCACTAATTTCTACAGTGAAAACTCATTTCTAAAATTTGTTATGCAAGGACCTGGTGCAGTGGCTCATGCCTGTAATCCCAGCACTTTGGGAGGCTGAGGCAGGTAGATCACCTGAGTTTAAGAGTTCGAGACCAGCCTGGGCAACATGGCGAAACCCTGTCTCTACAAAAAGAATACAAAAATTAGCTGGGCGCCATGGCGCACACCTGTAGTCCCAGCTACTCGGGAGGCTGAGGCCTGAGAATCCTTGAACCTAGGAGGTCGAGGCTGCAGTTAGCTGAGATCGTGCCACTGCACAGCAGCCTGGGTGACAGAGCGAGACCCTGTCTCAAATAAATAAATAAACAAATAAATAAAATTTGTTATGCTAATTAACAAAGCTTGAGAAATCGATGGGCAATAAAGATAAAGATAGCTGAAGCCATTAGTGGCATCTCTGAAAGGCGGCCTTCTGATTAAATGCTAGCTGACCACCCTGGAGTAAGAGTTCTTGACTAACAAGGTGTATGACTTGAGTTCCATACATCCTGGAGTATGAAACTGACTAGTCCTAAGGCATAGGTTAAGACTAAACATTTGTATTACACTGTCTACATTGGAATATGTTAAACTAAATGACAGAATCATAGCATCACAAAACTATATAAAACGACCTTGGTCCACAGATGTCCTATAACCCATGGTCATACGTGCAACTGGGTTCCTTTTCCTTATTTAAAACTCTTTACTCACTCTTTATCTTACCTGACACTCAGCCCTCCTGCTTCTATCCTGAAGTCAGTGTCTGTAGTCTCAGACACAGGAAGGGAAGAAAGCCTTGAGAGACAAGAACAACCTAGGGGAGTCAGCCAAGTACAGACTCTCCATCAGAGTGGCTGAACTAAATCCATCAAAAATGATCCTCAGAATTGTCCAGTGTCCTTTTTTCAGGCCATATGCAATTGTATAATAAAATTACTTTTAATTACCTAGCCTCTTAAAAAAAAGAAAGTGGCCTCATTGCCTTTCTAGATTTATTTGTCATGTACCTATTGGTTATGAATTAACATATCTAGATTGTTTTTTCATAGATTGAGTGAAAATATAATTTTATGATCTTAAACTGGCTTTTATATATGGCTGCTCCCTCTCTTAAGAACTAAGACCTGCTGCCATTGCAAAGGGGAATTGGATAAAATTTTGAAGTCTCTAAGGGGTGGCAAATCACAGTTTAAGTGCTTAGAGCAGCATGAGGTTTACTGGGTGCTTGGGAAGGAGAATTGTACAAAATGATGTCAGATTGCTCAAGACTTACATTTTTGCCTGTTTTGGGCTTGGATCTTGTGAAAGGAGAAAGGCCTTTCTTATTTCTTTAGTTTCCTTAGTTCTCACTATTCAGAATTCAGGTAAGTGCTGTTAATAGAAGAAGCTCATTTGGATAAAAGAGGCTTATGTGGACAATTCTGTGGACCTAACAACAATTTATAATCTTGTTTCATGAAAACCTCCCACAACTGACCCACTGGATGATTTGTGGATCACAGTCTGTTTTTAAGTTGAGGACTTATTGCTGTGTCTTAGATTTGAGTCTAGAAGCCAGAACATTGCATTTGTCTCAAGCCGGTGTCTCTGTGGAGGTCAAGTTCTGTCCACATGGCATTGAGTTCACTGGCTAACCTACGATCATTCACCATCATCAGAAAGCATTTGGTAAACATGCATGCTTAACTGGGTTAAAATTAAACAGTCAGAGTATAAAGTAAGCAAGTTCTCAGCCCATGCTCTCCTAGCAGTTAAAATCTAAAACTTTAGATTAGGAGCCAGATAGTGACCTATGATAGTCCAAACTACTCCCAGCAACTCCAGTTTGTTGTTTCTTTATGTGTAGTCCAAAGAAGGAAAAGCATGCAGAGTTCTTATACCCAGGCAGGCACCCTGGAGAGAGTTCAAAGATTTACAGGCTCTGAATGAAGGAATGCTGCTTACATAGGCACTTCTGGTTGAATGCAACTTATGATTTTGTTATTTTATTCGGAATCTGTTTTGGAATATAAATGATTATAAATGCTGGAAATATAGTGCTTTGAATGAAAATACAACTTGTTAGACCGGGCACGGTGGCTCACGCCTGTAATCCCAGCACTTTGGGAGGCTGAGGCAGGCAGATCACCTGGGGTTGGGAGTTCGAGACCAGCCTGGCAAACATGGAAAAACCCTGTCTCTATTAAAAATACAAAATTAGCCGGGCCTGTTGGTGCATGCCTGTAATCCCAGCTACTCAGGAGGCTGAGACAGGAGAATCACTTGAACTCGGGAAGTGGAGGTTGCGGTGAGCCAAGATTGTGCCATTGCACTCCAGCCTGGACAACAAGAGCAAAACTCTGTCTCAAAAAAAAAAAAAAAAAAAAAAGAAAATATAACTTGTTAAACATAGATAGGGTTATATTTGAACAATGATTTATCTTTTTTGAATAATCATTTATCTTTAAGAAATTTACCCACACATATACAGTACCCTTACCATTTCTTCTGTGTATATTTTAAATTTTCCTGTGGTTTTCTAGTAAGACATAGGTAGACGAAAAACCAGTATTTTGTTTTCCTTAAGGAATAATATAGAGAAATAATCCTAGTTTTAATAATCCTTGTTTCAATCCAGTTTTTGTTTGTTTGTTTGTTTGTTTTTGAGACGAAGTTTTGCTCTTGTTGCCCAGGCTGGAGTGCAATGGCGTGATCTCGGCTCACTGCAACCTCCACCTCCCGGGTTCAAGCGATTCTCCTGCCTCAGCCTTCCAAGTAGCTGGGATTATAGGCATACACCACCATGCCCAGCTAATTTTGTATTTTTAGTAGAGACAGGGTTTCACTATGTTGGCCAGGCTGGTCTCGAACTCCTGATCTCAGGTGATCCACCCACCTTGGCCTCCCAAAGTGCTGGGATTACAGATGTGAGCCACTGTGCCTGGCCAATCCAAATATTTAATACACCACCCCTTAACTTCTAAAGAAACTGAGTTGGGGATATTGTTACTTATTTTAACCAAACATCAGAGAGATTGTTCCTTCCTCAAAGTAATGTGTATTTGGCAAGTGGTAGGGCAGAAACTGAAACCTGGGTCTTCCTGTTTCCAAATCCAGTGTTCTTTCCCTTATTTCATCCCAGCTGCCTAAGCGTCATGGTATCATGCAGCATGTAATTATTAAGTTAACTCTTTTAAATCACCGCTGTAAAGTATCTTTTATGTATTTGTCTTTCTGTTTGCAGGGATGGAGGACTAAAGAGAGCAAAGGTGAAGGACATCTTTAAGGAAGAGCAGCAGAAAAATTACAGCAAGATGATTGTGGGCAATGGATCTCTCAGCTAAGAGGACGGATGACAGCCTTTAGATCTAGAACTAGCCCTTAGAAATGGAATGGCTTTTTTTGTTTTGTTTTGTTTTATTGTTTTGTTTTTATTATTGTTAATCTTTTCTACAGAATGATTGTCTCTACCTCTTTATGCCAGAGGCAGAACCTACAGGTGCCCTTTTTGGCTTTTGTTGTTGTTGTAACATTAGCCCCATGGATTGTAAGGTGGTTTACTGAGTTAAAACAGATTCTGCTTTTGTAAAATGATGGCATCACTGTGGACTGAATGAAATATTTGTATAGAAAAAAGTGCTTGAAAAGTGTGTTTGGAACTCATCGATAGGGTAATTCTCCAAAAATGCCCAAACTCTTTTTCTGTAATTAGCCTTGCCACTTTCTTCAGTCACTTAAATGGTGAGATTACACATCAGTGCAAGATGACCATTATGGTTATGGTCTACTGCAAGGTTGAAAGGAAAAATGGAGGATTGTATTTAGGAAAAGGGACAACTTTGTGGCCACCTGCTCTGAAAGTCAAAAGGAAATGTAAATTAGTGTCATTAGTGTGTTGGAAGAGAAATACTATTCAGTAAGCTTCGCCAAAGAAAAGTGAGTCAAAGTTAATGTGTGTGCGCATTTATATGTAGGCAGCTCGTAGACCACATTTTAACCAGCAACTGGTAACAAAGAGCTTAGTTTTCCTTGTTTGAATGCTGTAGATCTGTACCTAGTACCCCTCCCATCTACTGATTTGTTTGTTTTTGTAACCAAACACATTTTCAGATAGAAGGAGCCTTAAAAAAAAAAAATCACATTGAGTAACTTCAGTATGAATGAATGAGAGTGTGTGGAGCTACCCCTCACCCTCCACCCCTTTGTGCTTTTTATTCCCGAATTTTCCCAGTCTCTTAAACAGAAAAATGACTGATATAATTATCTTTTGGAAACTGAGCCTTAATTTTTTTTAGAGGGGGAAATAAGTTTTCCCCAACTCACACAGCATAAGCAATGTTTGACAGCAATATAATGCCGTTGTAAACTACTGAGAGTATTGTATCTGTTCTGGTAACCATGTACAGAATGTGAAACTGTCTTATGAATATAAATAAATTCTATATTTCTAAATGTGTGTTGCATTATTCCCCCTTCCCTTCCCCCCTTTTCTGGTTTTGAGTAAGTTAAATTCTTTCCTATTACAAACAAGGGTTGTTTGTTTTTCATTTCAGTGACATAGTTAGATTTTATTGGACTGGAACAAATGGGAAACAAGAACATGAGCCACTGATTCTCCCCCTCCCCTCCCGCCGCTTAAATCTTTTTTTCAGTCTAGTCATTTGGACTCTGGCCCTGTGAACTCCACCTTGAGCAATGTCACAGACTACAGTTATTTTGCAGGTGAATTAAGGCAATTATATCTAACTATCTAGGTAGGCCTGGCATAGCACTATCAGTATATACTCTTCTTATCTATCTAGCTAGTTGGATTTCATCCCAAAAGAAAACTTGCAAATAGGTTACTCTCATGGCCATCCACCTCTCTGTTCTCACTCTCCCCACTTTCCCTTTGTTGTTTGGTGAAATTTTGCCCCACAAACTCTATTAGGAGTGGTCTTGACTGAAAATTAGCAAATCCAAATATGTATGTTGGGTGACATTTTGTCTTAATTTTTTTCCTCAGAGAAAGGAGTGCCTTTTTTTTTTTGTAAATTCTATGTTAATTATGGCTTGAATTAACAAATCTATTTCATTAGCCCAATTCTCAGACAAGTGTATCTTTCCAAAAGCACTGTAAAAATAACAGTGCTATCATGTATTCACTAGATAACCTAATAGTGTCTCAATCTGAACTTTTGTCTTCTACAAGACTGATTTACACAACTAGGTTTCAGGTTGCTTGAGGAATTGCCATGTTGTTGAAACCATGTTTTTGGAAAGCTGATATTGCTCAGATTTAGTGTATGCTCCTTAGAGCTCCTTTTATGTTTGCTTTCACTAATATTATTCCATACCCACTTTAGAGATATTGTGTCCAGAGTTTAGTATTCCTGAGTCTTCCCTAATTGTAAGGCAATATGAAGGGAAGGCAGGATTTGGTAGAAAAATCTCATCAGATAAGTAAGACCTTTCATCGAACTCTTGCATACATTCATTAATTGAGCCTCGAGGTTGCCCTATTTTTATTTCAATTATTTGTCCTGCAGTCATATTTATAGACAGCAGGTTCTAGGAATGCCAAGGGTTTCTAAAATATGCCACATTCTGGGACTGGATGAGCAGCCATGTGTGAAACGGTAAATATACCCGGAGCGCAGGGGAAATAGTTTCAGATGCCACTCTGGGGCAAAGAACAGTCTCAGGGGAAGTTTTCCTGCGTCAACAGACTTTCCAAGGCATAGTCATCTTTGTCTTGGTGCTTTGCATGATCTCAGTGCATATGTTGCAGTTTGCACATTCTGTTGATTTTTTTTTATTATACTTGAAGCTCTAGGGTACATGTGCACAACGTGCAGGTTTGTTACATACGTATACATGTGCCATGTTGGTATTTTAACCTACATGATAAGGGTTGTTGGTTTCTTGTGAGTACAAATAATGTATTGTAGTCATGGGGACTGCCTCTTGGCCAAAGCTGCTTTCAGGCTTTTTTTTTTTTCCTTCAATGTGGCACTATTAACCTAAACTGCTTCATGATAGAAAAGGGTAGGTTATGATAGGAGGATAGGCTGGGGGTGGAGGTGGGGTGGAGGGAAGTGGGGAAGGGTGTTGTGGCAGGTGTAGGGGGCAAGGCTGGGATCTGGGATTGATACTGCTAGGGGCCCTAATAAGTATCTTCACAAAAGCTGTGTGTTTGCTTTTGTTTTTTAACAGCTGTTTCTAGTGGATTGATACTAGCTATGATTTAAAAAAAAATGGTTAAGATAATGGGATTAATGGGATACAGAGTCATAAAACAAAACATTTTCTTTATTTTTTGAGACGGACTCTCACTCTGGTGTCCAGGCTGGAGTGCAGTGGTGCAATCTCGGCTCACTGCAACCTCTGCCTCTCAGGTTCAAGTGATTCTCCTGCCTCAGCCTCCCGAGTAGCTGGGATTACAGACATGCGCCACCATGCCCGGCTAATTTTTGTATTTTTAGTAGAGACGAGGTTTTGCCATGTTGGCCAAGCTGGTCTCAAATCCCTGACCTCAGGTGATCCACCTGCCTTGGCCTCCCAAAGTGCTGGGATTACAGGTGTGAGCCACTGTACATGGCCAATTCTATTTTTTTATTACACATTCCTTTTTTAATGCTCAGTAAATATTTATTATTATTACTACTGCTGTAAGCAAGCATTGGTGATTGGCTCATAACGTCTTCTACTTGCCATATGTCTTTATTAGCTCAGTTCATATTCATATCCCTTTTTATAGGTGATAGATTGTAACTTCTCAATCCTGTGTGTTTTCCTTCAGAATCAGCACTTGTTCCCAAATAAAATAGTTTCAGTCATCCGCAGCACTGTACTGCAGCCCTATTTTTCAAAATTGGGCAGTCTAGGGAAAGGGCTTTCCTTTGGTTTTGTTGTTTTCTTTCCTCATGTATAGTGGCTGTGCCCAAAATGTAAGGAAAATCAAGAAATTGCAAAATATATCATCAGGCTATTCATATTAAATGTAAAACATTAAGTAATATTTAAGTTAATTTGTGGCTTGTAAAAACTTTGGAAGCTTTATATAATGAACTAATGGCACATAATTTCTGAAAGTTTTAATTAGACCCTGTTGATATTTGCAACATCAGCCTTAGCATATCTATTTTTAAATTATTATTAATTGATAGATAATTGTACATATTTATGAGGTACAGTGTGGTATTTTTATACATGTGTACAACGTGTACAACGTGTAGTGATCAAATCAAGATAATTAGCAAATCCATCACCTTAAACATTTGCAGTTTCTTTATATTGGAAACAATCAAAATCCTGTCTTCCAGCGATTTGAAAATATACAATAAGCTGAGCATGGTGGCTCATGCCTGTAATCGTAGCACTTTGGGAGGCTGAGGTGGGCGGATCACCGGAGATCAGGAGTTCGAGACCAGCCTGGCCAACATGGTGAAACGCCGGCTCTACTAAAAATACAAAAATTAGCTGGGCATGATGCCGTACACCTGTAATTTCAGCTACTTGGGAGGCTGAGGCAGGAGAATCACTTGAACCCAGGAGGTGGAGGTTGCAGTGAGCCAAGATTGCACCACTGCACTCCAGCCTCGGTGACAGAGTGAGACTGTCTCAAAAAAAAAAAAAAAAAAAAGAAAGAAAGAAAAGAAATATATACAATAAATTGTTAACTCTAGCCACCTACAATGCTATATAGAACACTAGAATTTATTCCACTTGTCTGTCTATAATTTTGTATCTGTGAACCAATCTCTACCTATACCCCCCTCCCTCCTACACTTCTCAGCCTTTAGTAATCACTATTCTACTTTCTACTCCTATGAGATCAGCTTTTTTAGCGTCGACATATGAGTGAGAACATGTGGTATTTATCTTTCTGTGCTTGGCTAATTTCACTAACCATTAATGTCCTCCAGCCTTAGCCATGTTGCTGTGAGTGACAGGATTTCATTCTTTTTATGGCAGAATAGTATTCCATTGTGTATATACACCACATTTACTTTATCCATCCATCTGTTGATAGACACAGGTTTATTCCATATCTTGGCTACTGTGAATAGTGCTGTAATAAACATGGCAATGCAGATATCTCTTTGACATTCTGATTTTCTTTCCTATGGAAAAATACTCAGTACTGGGATTGCTGTGTCATATGGTGGTTCTATTTTTAGTTTTTGAGGAACATCCATACTGTTTCCTATAATAGCTGTCCTAATTTACATCTTCACCAACAGTGTATGAGTCCCCCTTTCTCTGGACCTTTGCCAGCATTTGCTATTTTTTGTCTTTTTGATAATAGCCATTCTAACTGGGGTGAGATGCTATCTCATTGTGGGTTTGATTTGCATTTCCTTGAAGATTAATGATGTTGAACATTTTTTGTAAACTTGATCATTTGCATGTCTTCTTTTGAGATGTCTATTCAGATCATTTGCCCACTTTAAAATCAGATTATTATTATTATTATTTTGCTATTGAGTTTTTTTAGTTTGTTGTATGTTCTGGATATTAATCTCTTGTCAGTGGCTAGGTGCAGTGGCTGACACCTGTAATCCCAGCATTTTGAGAGGTGGAGGTGAGAGAATAGCTTGAGGCCAGGAATTTGAGATCAGCCTGGGCAACACAGTGAGACCCCGTCTCTACAATTTTTTTTTTATATCAGCTGGGTATGGTGGTGCATATCTGTAGTTCTAACTATTTGTAAGGCTGAAGCAGAAGGATCACTTGAGCTCAGAAGTTTGAAGCTGCAGTGAGCTATGATCACTGCACTCTAGCCTGGGTGACAGTGACACCCTGCTCAAAAAAAAAAAAAAAAATTCCCTTGTCAGATGATTAGTCTGCAAAAATCTTTTCCCATTCTGCAGGTTGTCTCTTTAATCCATTTATTGTTTTCTGTGCTGTGCAGAAGCATTTTAGTTATATATGATTCCATTTGTTTATTTTTGCTTTTGTTTCCTGTGCTTTTAAGGTCTAATTCATAAATTTTTTGCTCAGAACAATGTCCTGAAGCATTTCTCCTATTTTCTTCTAGTAGTTTCATAGTTTTGGGTTTTTAAAGAAGACCAATGTCCTGAAACATTCCCTCTATTTTCTTCTAGTAGTTTCATTGTTTTGGGTTTTTCATTTAAGTCTTTAATCTGTGTTGAATTGATTTTTATACTAAGGATCTAGTCTCATTTTTCTGCACATGGATATCTAGTTTTTCCAGTACCATTTATTGAAGATACTGTCCTTTTTCTCATTGAATGTTTTTGGCACCTTTGTAAAAAATCAGTTGGCTTTAAATACATGGATTTATTTCTGCATTGTCTATTCTGTTTCATTGGTCTATTTTTCTTTTTATGCCAATATCAAGCTGTTTTGGTTAATATAGTTTTGTAGCATATTTTGAAGTCAGGTAGTGTGATGCCTACAGCTTTGTTCTTTTTGTTCAAGAATCATATGGTTTTTGTTTTTCATTCTGTTGATGTGATGTATCACATTTATGAATTTGCATATATTGAGCCATCTTTGCATTCCTGGGATAAATCCAACTTGATCATGGTGTATATTTTTTATGTGCTGTTGAATTTGGTTTGCTAGTATTTGTTGAGGATTTTTGGATCTTTGTTAATCAGATATTTTGGCCTATACTTTTCTATTTTTTATTGTGACTTTGTCCGGTTGTATTATCAGAGCAATGCTGGCCTCATACAATGATTTTGGAAGAATTCTCTCCATTTTAACTTTTTGGAATAGTTTGAGAAGCAGTGAAATTAGTTCTTTTTAAATAATTTTGTAGGATTCAGGAGTGAAGTCATTTGTGCCTGGTCTTTTCTTTATTGGGAGATGTTTTATTACTGGTTCAGTCTGGTTACTTGTAATTATTCTGTTCAGGTTTTTCATTTCTTCTTGGTTCAGTCTTGGTAGGTGGTATGTGTCCAGAAATTTATCCATTTCTGTTAGGTTTTTCTAACAGAAATTAGGAAGTAGAGTTGTTCATAATAGTTTCTAATGATCCTTTGTATTTCTGTGCTATCAGTTGTAATGTCTTTTTTTTCACTTCTGATTTTATATATTTGGGTTTTTTCTCTTTTTTCTTAGTCTAGCTATTCCTTTTCAAATTTTGTTTATTGTTTCAAAAAAGCAGCTTTTTGTTTCATCTTTTTTTTTTGCATTTTTTTGGTCTTAATTTCATTTATATTTGCTCTGATATTATTATTTTCTTCTACTAATTTTGGGTTTGGTTTGTTCTTGCTTTTCTAGTTCCTTGGGGTGCATTGTTATTTATTTGAAATCTTTCTACTTTTTTTGATGTATGTGTTTACTGATGTAAACTTCCCTCTTAATACTGCTTTTGCTGTATCCTATAGGTTTTGGGTGTTGTGTTTCCACTTTTATTTGTTTAAATAAATTTTTAAATTTTCTCCTTAATTTCATCATTCACTCATTGGTCATTCAGGTGCATGTTGTTTCATTTCCATGTATTTGTACAGCTTCTAAAGTTCCTCTTGTTGTTGATTTTTAGTTTTATTCCATTGCGGTCAGAACAGATACTAGATGAGATTTTGGTTTTTAAAAATCTGTTGAGACTTTTTTTGTGGCCTAATGCATGGTCAGTCATAGAGAATGTTCCATGTGCTGATGAGAAGAATATGTATTTTACAGCTGTTGAATGAAATGTTCTTAATGTCTGTTAAGTCTTTTGGTTGTAGTATGTTTAAATTGGATGTTTCTTTGTTGATTTTCTGCCTAGATGATCTCTTCAACGCTGAGAGTGGGGTCTTGAAGTCCCCAACTACTATTTTATTGGAGCCTATCTCTCCTTTTAGATCTAATAATATTTGCTTTATATATCTGGGTACTCTAGGGTTGGGTACATATACATTTATAATTGTTATATCCTGTTGCAAAATTTATCCATTTATCAGTAAATAATAACCTTCTTTTTTTTTTTTTAGACGGAGTCTCGCTCTGTTGCCAGGCTGGTGTGCAGCGGTGCGCTTGGCTGATTGCAACCTTTGACTCCCAGATTCAAGCGATTCTCCTGCCTCAGCTTCCTGAGTAGCTGGGATTACAGGCACGCGCCACCATGCCCAGTTAATTTTTGTATTTTTAGTAGAGACGGGGTTTCACCATGTTGACCAGGATGGTCTTGATCTCCTGACCTCATGATCCACCTGCCTCAGCCTCCCAAAGTGCTGGGATTACAGGCATGAGCCACCATGGCTGGCCCTTTGTCCCTTTTTTTAAAATAGTTTTTTTACCTAATGCCTATTTTATCAGATATAACTATAGCTATTCCTGCCCACTTTTGGTTTCTGTGTAGAATATCTTTTTCTATCCCTTCACTTTTGATTTATGTGTATTTTACAGGTGAAGTGAGTTTCTTGTAGACAGTATATGGTTGGGTCATTTAAAAAAATCCATTCAGCCAGTGTATATCTTTTGATTAGGGGATTTAATCTGTTTAAGTTCAAGATTATTATTGACAGGTGAGGACTTTATTCCTGTCATCTTGTCAATCATTTTCTAATTGCTTTGTATAGCCCCTGTTCTTTTCTTTCTCTCTTATCATTTATCTTTGAAGTTTAGTGGTTTTATGTGGTGATAAGATTTGATTTATTTCTCTTTCTCCTTTGTATGTCTGGTGTATCAGTGAGTTTTATGCTTTCATGTTCTTTCATGTGTTTTCATGATGCTAGTTATTGTTCTTTTGCTGCCAGATGTAGAACTCCCTTAAGCATTTACTTTAAGGCAAGCCTAGTGTTGATGAATTCTCTCAGTTTTTGCTTTTCTGGGAAAGGGTTTGTGGACTTCATTTTTCAAGGATAGCTTTCCTGGGTATAGTATTCTTGGCTGGCAGTTTTTTTTTTTTCTTAATGCACTTTAACTATGTTGCCTCATTCTCTTTGCCCTGTAAGGTTTCTGCCAATAACTATGCTATTAGTCTAATGGAAATTCCCTTGTATGTGACTTGATATTTTTCTCTTGTTGTTTTTAGAATTCTCTTTGTCTTTGACTTTTGACAGTTTGACTATATGCACCTTGCAGAGGACCTTTTTGGGTTGAATCTATTTGGGAATCTCTGAGTTCCTTGGATCTGGATGTCTCTATCCCTCCCAAGACCTTGGAAGTTTTCAGCTATTAATTTATGAAATAGGTTTTCTATGTATTTTCCCATCTCTTCTTGCTATAGTTTGGATATTTGTCTTCCCCAAATTTTATGTTGAAATGTGACCCATCCCCACTAATGTTGGAGGTGGCGCCTATTGGAAGTTGTCTGGTTAGTGGGGGTGATCCCTCATGAATGGCTTCGTCCCCTTCCCATGGTAATGAATGATGGCTTGGTCCCCTTCCCATGGTAATGGATGAGTTCTTACTCTATTAGTTCATACAAGAGCTGGTTGTTTAAGGCATGGCACTCCTCCCATTGCTTTTTTGCTCCCTCTCTCACCATGTGACATGCTGGCACCCTTTGCCTTCCACCATTAGTAAAAGCTTCTTGAGGTTGTCACCAAAAGTAGATGCAGGTATCATGCTTCTTGTACAGCAATAAACCCCTTTTCTTTATAAAAGACCCAGCCGCAGGTATTTATTTACAGCAACGCGAAATGGACTTACACACTTCTCCTTTTGAAATTCTCATAATGTGAATTTTTATTTTGCTTTATGATGCCCTGTAAATCCTGTAGTCTTTCTTCATTCTGTTTTATTCTTTTGTTTTTGTTGTTGTCTGCCTGGGTCATATCAAAAGACCTGTCTTCAAGTTTAGAAATTCTTCTGCTTGCTCTGGTCTTTTGTTGAAGGTCTCGGTTGTATTTCTTATTTCATTCATTGAGTTCTTAAGCTCCAAGATTTCTGTTTGTTTCTTTTATTCTATCTATCTCTTTGTTAAATTTCCTATTCAGATCACGAAGTGTTTTCCTGATTTTGTTGAATTGTCTATATGTATCCTCTTGCATCTCACCAAGTTTTCTTAAACTCATTATTTTGAATTTCTTTTTTGGCATCTTGTAAATTGTTTTTGGTGGGGGAGCTGGTATTGGAGAATTATTATGTTCTTTTGGAAGTGTCATGTTTCCTTGCATTTTCATTTTCTTGTATCTCTATGTTGATACCTGTGTATCTGCTGAAACAATTGCCTCTTCCAATTTTATGGAGTACCTTTGGTAGGGAGAGTCATTCCTGTAGGTGAGTCATATGGTGTCAATGGGTAAGTTGAGTTGGCCTTGGTTCTGGGTGGACACAGTAGTGTAGTCTGTTAACCTGTTAAGATTCTTTGGCTATAATCCACATTAATGATCTTTGTGAGTACCTCAGTGGCCTAGGCTGTGAGAATCTATGGTGGCAGTGGTGCATCTTTGCGGGGATGGGACCATTGAGCTTTTTCTCTGGCCAGAGGCATAAGTGTGCAGTGGGTTGGTTGGTTTGGTGACTGGCTTGCTGGGGGTGAATTTTCCATGCAGTTTCGCTGGCCATGGGTGCAGGGATACAGATGCTTGGTGGACCTGGGAGTGGGTCCACCAGGAATGTTTCTGCTGGAGGTGGGTTCACCTTGTTGCTTCTCCAGCTGGGACATGGATGTGCAGTAGTTCGGTGGCTTGTCTCAGGGGCAGGTTTGTCAGGCTGTTTCTTTGGTAGTGAGTGCCAAGAAGGGGGACTTTCTGGGGGAAGGTCCATTGGACTATTTAGTTCAGCCAGCCAAGGGTTGGCTTTCCTGCTGTGCAATGCTGAAGTCATGGCTGTTCCTGGCCCCATGCTCCAAGCAGACAGCGTTGTGGTATTGCAGCCACCTGTGTGGACTTGGTAAAATAATGGCAGAGACTCAAGGCTGGAGACATGCAGTGGCTGCTGGACCCCAGAGCAGGGTGGACTCTAGCAGTGGTTCCAGTTTCAAGATGGCACAGTCCTGCAGTAGCTTGGCTCACTGGGGTTGATTGGGGTGGGGAGTGCACACCTTGTGTTCCTACTCTGGAGTAACGCAGCTATGTTAATTCCAAGCAGCTCCGCAAACTGGGCTAAGGGCTTTTGAGGACTGTGGGATTCTTCTATAGTAAGTACTACAGGAATCTGCAGTGGCAGTTCAGGCATGTGGGGGCCTTCTGCTTACCTTTTTCCCATATGGAGAAGTCCCTCCTGGATCTGAGCCAATCTCAATGGGAGAGATGGGGTGGCAGGGGCAGGGTGCCTTGCTCCCCTCTTTTTGCTGACATCCTGGGCTTCTGTGCTCCACAGGGATTTCACCAGTCCCTTTCTGCACTCCAGTGCTGTCCCTCAGACACTACAGTTGAATGTTAGTTGTTATTTGTTGTTTTGGTTGTTTTTTGTTGGGAGGGATATGTGCCAGGCAACTCTAGTTAACCATTTTGTTGATGTCCTTTATTTCCCTTTGTTTTTTTTATGAGACTGAGTCTCCGTCTGTCATCCAGGCTGGAGTGCAGTGGCACAATCTTGGCTCACTGCAATCTCTGCCTCCTGGGTTCAAGCGATTCTCCTGCCTCAGCCTCCTGAGTAGCTGGGATTACAGGCATGCACCACCACTCCCAGCTATTTTTTTTTGTATTTTCAGTAGAGACAGGGTTTCACCATATTGACCAGACTGGTCTCGAACTCCTGACCTCAGGTGATCTGCCTGCTTCAGCCTCCCAAAGTGTTAGGATTACAGGCATGAGCCACTGCGCCCAGCCTTATTTCTCATTTGTAAGAGTTATATCTAATTCTTTTTCAAATGTGATTACTCTCACATAGTTTTGAAGTACCTTATGCTTATTGATTTTATGTTTTTCCCAACAACTCCAAAATCTTATATCTTTTGAGGGTCTGGGTCTATCTTTTCTGCTGCTTCTTGTTCATAGAGTCTTTGTGTGTTTAGAGAATTTTAATAATTATCATCTTTGGAATTTTATCCTCTCTTAGACCTGGAGAGCAGGGATCAGCAAACCAAAGCTTGTAGGCCAAATCCTGCCCTCTGTCTGTTTTTGTAAATACAATTTTATTGCAAGACAGCATTTGTTTATATATTGCCTATAGCTGCTTTTGCATGACAAAAGCAAAGTTGAGTAGTTGCTATAGTGACCTGCATGGCCCACAAAGCCTAAAATGTTTACTATCTGCTTCTTCATCTGATATGGTTGCCCACCCCAGCTCTAGGGCACTATCAATCTGGTACTACTTTAAACTATATTGTTGGCTTGAGGTTATCGGGCTATGGAAATAGTGAGAATTCAGTCTGTAAATCCAAAGGTGAGCCATTGTGGTTTTGAATGATCTGTGTACTATTTTTAGATAAATCCACATTGTATTTATAAGTAATTCATTCTTTTTAATTGCCAAGTAGTTTTAAATCTTTAGGGGAAAGTTATTTTTCCCTTTCACTTATCAGTAAGGTTTGACACAAGCAATTTGCCTTGCTTACATTTGAGATTGGAGGATGGATTATTTCTTTTTTTTTTCTTTTCTTTTTTTTTTTTTTTGAGATGGAGTTTCGCTCTTGTTGCCCAGGCTGGAGTGCAATGGCGTGATCTCGGCTTACCGGAACCTCTGCCTCCCGGGTTCAAGCGATTCTCCTGCCTCAGCCTCCAGAGTAGCTGTGATTACAGGTGTGCGCCACCATGCCTGGCTAATTTTGTATTTTTTTTGGGTAGAGATGGGGTTTCTCCATGTGGTCCGGCTGGTCTCGAACTCTTGACCTCAGGTGATCCGCCCGCCTCGGCCTCCCAAAGTGCTGGGATTGCAGGCATGAGCCACTGCACCTGGCCCTTTCTACTTTACTGTTACACAGAGGTTATAGTCCTTTGATATTTCACCTTCAAAGGAAGACTGTAGTTAGACTTTCCATCTTGGGCAGGACTTCAATTTTGTTTTTTGTCCCTTAGGCCCTTAAGGCTCTAGAAACCAATGCTAGAGTTTGCCTGGTTCAGCCAATGCCTGCAAAGTAAATGACAACTGCTGGGCTCTCTGCTCTGCTTTTTCCTCTGGGAATCGATCTTCCTTTAGTCTCTGACTTGAGTAGTCCTAACTTTCTTGCTAGTTACAGAAGCATTCAAAATCATTTTCTTTTATCATATAGGAAGAGAGTGAGTTCTTGTTGCAAAAAATAAAAGTTCTAGAAGGAGACAACTTTAAATTTAAAAAGAAGTTTCTCTGAGTGTTTTACTCTAGGTTAAAGCCATTATTTAAATATAAGGAGAAAAGCCTCTCCTTTAGAATCATTACTGTTCATTTGCAAATTAAATGCTGAAAGGTTTTGTAAGATAAAGTGATTTATAGGAGATCTGGACTAACACAGGGAAAACTGGAAGATTTTGGTGTTGGTGGAGAATACAAAAACCCGACAGCAGGAAGTCAGCTGAAAGAAGCCACCAGGTCATTGGTGTTCTTGGCATTGTGGGTGGGTGGTGAGTTTTCAGGCTGCACGTGTTACAGCCTAGGCTGAGGATCCCATCAAGGCTTTTGATGGCCCTCCATGGTCATAAATTCCTGCTATGAGCACTCCCTGCTGTTGTGAGACGCATATAGTAATTCTGGCTACTTGCTGGCCTCTTGGCTCTGTGTCCGGAAAAGATGTCTTGGAAAACTCTGAGAATAAAAAATGTATACTCTATCTTGGTGACCTAAAACATTTCAAATCCGTTTGCCCTCTAAAGCTGTGATCAGGGAGTGGATAGCTCAAAGAGCAGAACCAGTTAGTCTCCTCTCAAGGTGAAATATATATATTTCTTATACAAATAGGTGAATTTAAACTTTTTTGAGAATCTTTGACAATTGTATGTCTTGGCTTAGTTAAGATATATCCTTGCTGATTACACAAGTCAATTAGGGATCACAGGTTAGAGTTGGGCAAGTTTTCAAATCATTGTTTCTCTAGCTTTATAAAGGAAAACACCTATATTTGGTGCTTACAATTCGTATGCTGTTCTAGGTCTGAGGACACAACAATGACAAAGGCAAAAAC